>NW_016107299.1:0-154723 GCF_000001405.40 Homo sapiens
ATACATACAGGAAGTACAACATATTGAGCAGAATAAATAGAATAAATAAACATCTAGATACATTGTGACAAAACTACAAAACACCAATGATATCTTAAAAGCAGGGAGTAAAAAGAGATCATCTACACAACAATGAGGATTAGACTGAGGAGACTTCTTTACAACCAACATGTATCAGGCCTATTATATGCCCACACTGTCCTAGGTACTTAGAACACAAGTATGAACAAGCCAGGCCCAGCCCCTACCCTGTGGAGCTACAGAACCTCTAACAGGGATCGCAGATGTGCAGTAACAATTATAGTGTGATGAGCGATCCTGGTTGGAGGGCAAAAGAATCGGCAAGAAAACAATACCATAGAACAGCATTATGAAGATTTTCCTATCCCACGTAGGATCCACACAGGGACTGGCCCCCAAGCACAGATCCTTGCTGGCAGCCTGAGAGTCACTCGGTCTAACTTGGTTTCAAGGCAACTCCACCAGCCTTTATTAAATAAGGCTCTGGGTCTCTGGGTACTGGCTGCCTGCTCACACTTTCCCTTACAGACATCTGGACCCCTCCCTTACCCCACATTATAAGCAAGGAGGAAGAAGAGGACCCGAGGCTGGGAAACGTGGAGGTGGCAGTTGGGATCAAACATCCTACATGTTTACCAAGACCAGGAGGGCTTTTCCCTCCAAGGGACCCTTGGGACAGCAGCTGCTATGTTCACGCGTCCTTCCTTGGGACAGGGGACAGACTAGATGTCCTAAGACTGGCAGCTTCCTCTCTGGGACCCCTGAGAGAAGCGGAGACAAATGGTCCTCCTCAGGGCCTTCTTCAAGGTCCTGGACTTAGTCCCAGTGGCCACAGGCTAGGTAGCAGTGTGCAGGGCCCTGAGTTCTGCAGAGCTTGCATGGAGAGCAGGCGTTACGCTGGAAGGAAGCCCAGGAGTGTCAGTAATGGGGAAGCGTGCCCTGAGGCATGGAATGCTGCCGGTGATCAACAACAGCTTCAACTGTAGACTCTGTCTAGGCCAGGGCCAACTCTCCGTACCAGCATCAACATCTCTCTGCCCTGGCCCCATTCCAGGGTTCATTAAGTAAAGCCTGCTAGGAAGCTCTGAACCCCCTGCCATGGGGCAGGAACTGTGTCCTATTTAGCCTTATATTCCCTGTGCGTGGACAGGATAGCTCTATCGGGCGCTTATTCATGTAAGAGGTAGGGTCCTGGCTGAGAGGTGAAGGATTTGGCGAGAGGGCATGGGGGACAGAGACAGAGGAGTGAAGTCTGGGGAGGGCTGGGAAGCTATTCGGAGAAGGCTGGAAAGACGTGAAGGAAGACGAGCAGAGGAGAAGGGAAGGGGGCTTCTCACAGTCGGGGCGATCTGGTCTGGAGGAGGGAGGGGCCGCCAGTCGCCCTGGGGACCGTCACCTTGTCCCACTAGGGAACTCGGGGTGCGGCCCTCGCCGGCCCCGGGCCAGCGGCCAGGTCCCCGCCCTCCGCGGGATTTACTCCTGTCCCGCCTCCTCGGATTTAGCCCAGGCAGCCTGGGAGGTTCCGCAGTCGCCGCTTCCGCCTTGACCAGGTGAGGGTCCGGACCGAGCAGGGGGCCCGGGCTGGGGAGAGCCGGCGGAGCAGCCGTCGCTGGGGGCGCGTCCGGGGGGCGCTGGGCCTGTCCTCTTCTCCTGCGTCCTTCCCTCCCGCAGCCGCGCTTCCTCCTGTCTCCCTTCTGCGCTCCCCGCTTCCCACCGAGCGCGCAGGGCCGGGTCCCCCAGGGTCCTGGGCTTTCTCCTTCCCAACCCAACCCTGTTCGCGCCCGGTTCTGAGTCCACCTGCGCGTTTCCAACTAGGCCCAGCCTCGATCCTCTTCTTCCTCCTTGCTTATAATGTAGGGGAAGGGACGGGTCCAGGAGTGTGCTAGGGAAAGTGTGAGCAGGCTGCCAGTACCCAGAGGCCCAGAGCCTTATTTAACAAAGGTTGGTGGAGTTGCCTTGAAGCCAAGTTAGACCGAGTGACTCAGGCTGCCAGCAGGCATCTGTGCCTGGGGCTGAGCTCAGGTAGGTGTGGGACTGTGTACCTGACAGCCTCAGTGGCTCCATAGGCAGCACCTAAGCCTAGCGGCCATCACAAGTGCCTGATTTGATTTCAAATGTTGCTGCCTCCGGTGGAGGAGAGGCAATGACTGTGGACCTCTTTTGGCTTGAGGGGTCCCTATGCCCCCATAGCTCAGGTATGCTGTGTGCACACTGTACCTCGATGTCTGTGTGTTGTGTTCATGTGGACCTTTGTGTCTTAGCCGTGTGGGGCAGTGTATCTAGGTGTTTGGAGGCAGTGAACTGCCATGTCCCATGGATGTGACACGTATGTACAAGGAACATCTCATGGAAGGACACAGATGAGCCTGGGCGTTTTGTGGCCGCATGCTGAAATGTCTCAGCGTTAAGACGACATATATCGGCCGGGCGCAGTGGCTCACGCCTGTAATCCCAGCACTTTGGGTGGCCGAGGCGGGCGGATCACGAGGTCAGGAGTTCAAGACCAGCCTGGCCAATATGGTGAAACCCCATCTCTACTAAAAATACAAAAAATAGCCGGGCATGGTGGCACGCGCCTGTAGTCCCAGCTACTTGGGAGGCTGAGGCAGAAGAATTGCTTGAACCCGGGAGGCGGAGGTTGCAGCGAGCTGAGATCACGCCACTGCATTCCAGCCTAGATGACAGAGCGAGACTCCGTCTCAAAAAAAAAAAAAAAGAGGACATGTATTTGGGAGTCTCGGCCATGTTTTGCAGTATATCTGTAGGTCTCAGTGTGTGTGTGTGGCAGCATGTGGGAGGCAGTGTACCTTCGTGTGTGTGCGTGCTCTACCTACATGTCTGAGGTATGGTGTGGTTGTCATATCTGAGCATCTCCAGTGTGTGTGGTAGGCAAACATGTCTCATGTTGGAGGAAGGGAGATGTCTCATGTTGGAGGAAGGGAGATGTCGTCTCAGGTGTGTATGAGTGAGTTTGTGCCACTGCGTAGCTCAGGTCTAAAAGGGCAGTGTTTCTGGGTGTCCGGGTGTGTGATGTGCCGTGATATTTCAGAGTCAGGATGGTAACATACCTGGAGTCTGTAGTAGGAGCAGGCAGTATGCTAAAATTGCAGGTGTGAGCAGGGCAGGTTACTCAGCGGTGAAGGGACAGAGTACCCGGATGCCTGGGCACGGGGAACATTCTATCTGGGATTTGTGTGCGTGAGTGGCAGGGATCCTGGCTGTCTCTGCTGTGTCCCTGCCTCTGTACCTGAGTGTTTCTAATGACTTGCAGGTGGAGCTGGAGACCTGGTCTCTCTAGGGCCTACCCTGAGCTCACCATCTGAAGGAGAGTGCCATCATCCTTAGGAACTCCTTCTCCAGACATGCTTCCTGAGGCTGGCTCCCTGTGGCTACTGAAGCTGCTCCGGGACATCCAGTTGGCCCAGTTTTACTGGCCCATCCTTGAGGAGCTTAATGTCACTCGGCCAGAGCACTTCGACTTTGTAAAGCCTGAGGACCTGGACGGCATTGGCATGGGCCGGCCTGGTGAGGGACCCCTGCCCCGAGGCCCTGGTCTCTCTGTCCACAGCCTATCAGTTGCCTTCCCCCACCACAACCCTCTTCCAGCCCTTTTCTTCCCTGTAAGTCTCTCCGCACTCTTCCCCACACCCACCTCCACTCCAGCCCTGATTCTGGCCTCCCACAGCCCAGCGCAGACTGTCCGAAGCTCTGAAAAGGCTACGTTCTGGGCCTAAGTCTAAGAACTGGGTCTACAAGGTGTGTGTTGTAGGTGGGCAGCTTGGGCCTGGGAATGAGGTGGCTTGAGGGGCAGGGAGGGGGGCGCAGGGCTCTGCATACCGGATTTCCCATCCCTGTTTCAGATCCTTGGAGGTTTTGCCCCTGAGCACAAGGAGCCCACCCTGCCCTCGGACAGCCCACGGCACCTCCCTGAGCCAGAGGGGGGCCTCAAGTGTCTGATCCCAGAGGGTGCTGTTTGCAGAGGGGAGCTGCTGGGTTCAGGCTGCTTCGGTGTGGTGCACCGAGGGCTGTGGACGCTGCCCAGTGGCAAGAGTGTGAGTGTCCAGGGAGCCCGCTTCATCCAGGCCAGCTGCCCCCTCTGTTCTTCATGCCCGCAATGCCTAAAGGCGCTTCCCCCCACCTCCAGGTCCCAGTGGCTGTCAAGTCCCTCCGGGTAGGTCCCGAAGGCCCGATGGGCACAGAACTGGGGGACTTCCTGCGAGAGGTATCGGTCATGATGAACTTGGAGCACCCACACGTGCTGCGTCTGCACGGCCTTGTACTGGGCCAGCCTCTGCAGATGGTGAGCAGATCCAGCCGCTGGTTCCCGGGACAGCCGTGCGGCAGGAGCGTGGGCGGCCAGGGTCCAATGGGTCCGGCTCACGCGGCGCGGTGTTCCCTCCTGCAGGTGATGGAGCTGGCGCCACTGGGCTCCCTGCACGCGCGCCTAACGGCCCCGGCCCCGACACCCCCGCTGCTCGTGGCCCTGCTCTGCCTCTTCCTGCGGCAGCTGGCGGGAGCCATGGCGTACCTGGGGGCCCGCGGGCTGGTGCACCGAGACCTCGCTACGCGCAACCTACTGCTGGCGTCGCCGCGCACCATCAAGGTGGCTGACTTCGGGCTGGTGCGGCCTCTGGGCGGTGCCCGGGGCCGCTACGTCATGGGCGGGCCCCGCCCTATCCCCTACGCCTGGTGAGAGCGGGTCCGCGGGCGGTCGGGCTCTGAGCCGGGCGGATCCGGAGGGCAGCAGCCGAGGGAGATCGGAGGGGGCCGGGCTTCTGAGGGAGGCTTGGACCAGAAGGGTTATCCTCCTAGGCAAAGAGGACTTTTGTGAAAGATGGGTGCACTCGGGGGTGCTCCGTGGAGGGTGGGCCTCCAAGGAGCACGTGTCCCGCCCCTTTCAGCTCCACTTCCTTCGGCAGGTGTGCCCCAGAGAGCCTGCGCCACGGAGCCTTCTCGTCTGCCTCGGACGTGTGGATGTTTGGGGTGACGCTGTGGGAGATGTTCTCCGGGGGCGAGGAACCCTGGGCCGGGGTCCCACCGTACCTCATCCTGCAGCGGCTGGAGGACAGAGCCCGGCTGCCTAGGCCTCCCCTCTGCTCCAGGGCCCTCTACTCCCTCGCCTTGCGCTGCTGGGCCCCCCACCCTGCCGACCGGCCTAGCTTTTCCCACCTGGAGGGGCTGCTGCAAGAGGTGGGAACCCCCGACCTCACCAGATACACAGTCCCTCTTCCCTCCATTCGCTCTCCCAGGGTTCCATGCGAAGACTAACACATCTAGATGTCTGTGCTGGGCTCTGGGACTCAGCTCTGAGCAAAACAGATGCAGTCCCTACCTGCAGGGAGATCAGAGCCCTGGGGAGGCAGCTTGGGGCTACACAGATGCAGACTGAAAGGCTGGGGTCTGTGTCTGGGCCAGGAAAGGGGCATAGAGGAGACAGCACTCAGTTGCAGTCGTGTTGACACGCAGAGGAAGAGAAGGGCTCAGCGTGGGAGGGGAAAATAGAAATAATGAAGCCGCAGGCCGGGCGCGGTGGCTCACGTCTCTAATCCCAGCACTTTGGGAGGCGGAGGTGGGCAGATCACCTGAGGTCGGGAGTTCAAGACCAGCCTGACCAACATGGAGAAACCCCGTCTCTACTAAAAAATACAAAATTAGCTGGGTCTGGTGGTGCATGCCTGTAATCCCAGCTACTCGGGAGGCTGAGGCAGGAGAATCGCTTGAACCTGGGAGGCAGAGGTTGCGGTGAGCCGAGATCACACCATCGCACTCCAGCCTGGGCAAAAAGAGCGAACTCCGTCTCAAAAAAAAAAAAAAGAAGAAGAAGAAGAAGTAATGAGGCCACAGAGAGAGCAGGAGCTGTGTCATGGAGGGCTTTGCAAGGCGTGTTAAGCTAACACGTAGAGCACTTGACCTGTGCAGGACACTGCACTGTGCACTTTACATGGGCGCTTATGCAGATTCGCTCATTTAATGCTCTCAACCACTGGATGAGGTAATTATTATTAGTAGTATTTTATTTTGAGACAGTCTTGCTCTGTCACCCTAGCTGGAGTGCAGTGGTGGGATCTTGGCTCACTGCAACCTCCGCCTCCTGGGTTCAAGCAATTCTCCTGTTTCAGCCTCCCGAGTAGCTGGGATTACAGGCGCCTGCCACCACGCCTGGCTAATTTTTGTATTTTTAGTAGAGATGGGGTTTCACCATGTTGGCCAGGCTGGTTTCGAACTCCTGACCTCAAATGATCCACCTGCCTTGGCCTCCCAAAGTGTTGGGATTACAGGCATGAGCCACCGTGCCCGGCCTGGATGAGGTAATTATTATCTCCATGTTACTGATGGGCAGTTGAGGCACTGAGAGTTTAAGTGACTTGCCTAAAGTCACATGGTAAGTGGAGGAGTTGGGATTTGAGCCAGTCAGTTTGACTTCAGAGCTGTTCCCTAAGCTGCTACACTCTACCACTAAAGCTTAGTCTTTACTCTGAAGGCATTTGGGAGCCAGGGAAGCCTATTAGGCAGGGGAGTTACAAGCCACTCTCACCATGACGGCACTCTGATGTGGCGCAAGAATGGATTAGAGGGATGATGCTGAGGCTGGGAGACCAGGTAGGCAACAGTGGCTGTGAAGCAGAAGGGAGATGAAGAGGTCTGGATGAGGGTAGAGGCGGTGGGGCTGCAGAGGAGTGGAAATTTCCCAGAGGGGCTTGGGAGGCTGCTCTGACAGGCCTGGATGTGGAGTGAAAGCAGTGTACAGGATGACGCTCCTGTTAGTCCCCCCAGGTAGAGCCAGGGCCCTCCTCTCTTGCTCCTTGAGCCCTGACCTGTTTGTCATGGGATCCAGGTCTGCCTCCCTCACTGAATTACAATGGGGGGACAGGGAGAGTCCCACCCTGGGCCCAGCACAGACTACATACAGAGCGGAGCTCCTCTTTATTCCTGCTCCCATATTACCTATCTGACTCAGGCCACAAGCCCAGCCACCCTTTCCTCTTGTCTCCACAGGCCGGGCCTTCGGAAGCATGTTGTGTGAGGGATGTCACAGAACCAGGCGCCCTGAGGATGGAGACTGGTGACCCCATCACAGTCATCGAGGGCAGGTGACAGTCCCATACCTCCCAAGCACCCTCAGGAGGAGGATACCCTCCCAGCCTAATTCCTGATCCCTTCTCTGCTTCTCTCCAGCTCCTTGAACCCTGATCTTCTGTCTCATCTCCTCTCCCCACTGGGTCCTGAAAGCTCCAGCATGGTCCTGGCCTCCCTGCTGGAGCCACTGCTGGCCCATAGAGCCTTATTGCATTAGGGAAAAGGCTTCCCTTCCTCCAGGCAGATGCGGCTCCAAGGCACATAGCCTAGTGAGCTGACTGTGGGCCAGGGCCCAGCCCTAACTCTTGCCCTTATTCCCATCCTATTTACCAGCTCCTCTTTCCACAGCCCCGACTCCACAATCTGGAAGGGCCAGAATGGTCGCACCTTCAAAGTGGGCAGCTTCCCAGCCTCGGCAGTGACGCTGGCAGATGCGGGGGGCTTGCCAGCCACCCGTCCAGTCCACAGAGGCACCCCTGCCCGGGGAGATCAACACCCAGGAAGCATAGATGGGTGAGGACCTGAAAGGGTGAGGGCAGGGGTTGGCTGGGAGAACTGATGAGGTCCAGGAGCTTCTCTGGAAGAGAAGCCTGGGGACAGGACCAGAGTGAAGCTGCAGCCTCCACCCTGGGCCCTGGGTCTCCTGGGTTCCCCTGTGAGTTTTTTTGGGAGGGTATATTGATCTGTGGGGTGGGGAGAGTTGGTGTGGAGGATGAACTGGATCCCTCTCCGACAGAGACAGAAAGAAGGCAAATCTTTGGGATGCGCCCCCAGCACGGGGCCAGAGGAGGAACATGCCCCTGGAGAGGATGAAAGGTGGGTGTGGTGGACTCCAGAGTCTCTGAGGAGATCAAGACCAGTCCTTCAATTCCGACCCCCTGCCCTAAATCCATGCCTTTGCATCTATTATTTCCTTCCTCTGAATTCTGTCTGCTGGCATCCTAGCTATACTGTGCAATCTATTTTTTTTTTTTTTTTTTGAGACAGAGTTTCACTCTTTTTGCCCAGGCTGGAGTGCAGTAGCGTGATCTTGGCTCACCGCAACCTCCACCTCCCGGGTTCAAGCGATTCTCCTGCCTCAGCCTCCCGAGTAGCTGGGACTACAGGCATGTGCCACCACACCCGGCTAATTTTGTATTTTTAGTAGAGATGAGGTTTCACCCTGTTGCCCAGGCTGGCCTTGAACTCCCCACCTCGGGTGATCTGCCTGCCTCGGCCTCTCAAAGTGCTGGGATTACAGGCGTGAGACACTGCGTCCGGCCCTATACTGTGGAATCTTAAAAGATAGGAAGCCCTCCTGCCTTCCCTTCTGAAGAGCACCTCCACACTCTGGGCCCTGAGCTCTGAGTTCTCTGGGCCCTCCGCCTAGGCCTTGGTGTCCACTTGCCCATCTGTCTTATTGTCCCACCTGACACATGAACCACCCAGGGACAGGGCTGGCTAGCTCATCTGCAAATGCTTGCAAAACCATCCAGCTCAGCACAGATGAAGACAGAGAGTGGGGCCAGGCATGGTGGCTCAAGCCTGTAATCCCAGCACTTTGGGAGCCCAGCGTGGGTGGATGGCTTGAGTCCAGGAGTTTGAGACCAGCCTGGGCAATGTGCCGAAACCCCTTCTCTACAAAAATACAAAAATTAGCCAGTCGTAATGGCAGGCACCTATAGTCCCAGCTACTCGGGAGGCTGAGGTGGGAGGATCGCTTGAGCCCGGGAGGCGGAGGCTGCAGCCAGCCGAGTTCAAGTTGTTTCCTTCTCAACTGTGCAGGCATTTCCAGGAGTCTGGAGTCAGTTCTGTCCCTCGGTCCTCGTCCCACAGGGGGTGGTTCAAGCCCCCCTGAAATTCGACAAGCCAGAGCTGTGCCCCAGGGACCTCCAGGCCTGCCTCCACGCCCACCTTTATCCTCTAGCTCTCCTCAGCCCAGCCAGCCCTCTAGGGAGAGGCTTCCCTGGCCCAAAAGAAAACCCCCACACAATCACCCCATGGGAATGCCTGGAGCCCGTAAAGCCGCTGCCCTCTCTGGAGGCCTCTTGTCCGATCCTGAGTTGCAGAGGAAGATTATGGAGGTGAGGTCTCACTGAAATGGCCTGGTGTCCAGAAGGGGCTACAGGCAGGGGCAGGGGCCTGAGTGAGGCTTTGTCTGTCACAGGTGGAGCTGAGTGTGCATGGGGTCACCCACCAGGAGTGCCAGACAGCACTAGGAGCCACTGGGGGAGATGTGGTTTCTGCCATCCGGAACCTCAAGGTAAAGCCAGCCCCTTCTCTTGGGGTCCCTCCTCTCCTGCCCCTGCCGCCTGGCAGTCAGCTGCAACCCACCCTCCTGCTTCCACAGGTAGATCAGCTCTTCCACCTGAGTAGCCGGTCCAGAGCTGACTGCTGGCGCATCCTGGAGCATTACCAGTGGGACCTCTCAGCTGCCAGCCGCTATGTCCTGGCCAGGCCCTGAGCTCAGCTTCTGCGGGCACAGACACCAGCATGAAAAGCCTAGGCCCCTGAGGGCCTGGCCACATGGGACCAAGCGGAACCAGAACAAGGTCCCGACAGGGGTAGACGTTCCACCTGGGGAGATCCCACCTGCCGTAGGCACATGGAGGAGGAGCCCAGAGTTGGGCACTGGCAAATGTCTCCTCCCTCCCATGCTCCTTGGCTTCTGAAGGCTGAAGCTCCTTTGGCTGGGCCAAGAAGGATCTAGTCTGCCCACTACATTCTCAAACAAGAGGACTTGGAAGAAAAGAGCTGCTATACATCATATGCAGAGGAAGCTTCTACGCGCTAGAGAGGATCAAGGGGCCACACTGGACCATGTGAACAGCCATCCTGAACTGCCATCAGCTACCACACTGGACTCTGCAGGGCAGCCATCCTGGATGATGGAAGCCACCATATTGACTTGGGGTATAGGCCCAAACTGCCTTCGTTTGGTCCAGGGCCATCGTGGGTGATGACGATTGCTCTCTTGCACTCAAGGACATTTGATGCTGGTAGTATGGATTATGAGATGGACTAGCCCCTGCCCCAGCCCAGCTCTCACATTCCCCTTTGTTTTTTCCCATACCAACTGCTTCTACCCTCCCCTATTACATACATCTTTCAATGTCCAAAAAGTTACAAAGTTTATATGAATGTAACATATAAAGATGCAGCCTTTTTCCTAGGGCAAGGGAAGGAAGGGCAGTTACATAAGGCACAGGAATCGCAGCAAGCACCAGCTGAAGGCAGGGCCCTAGTGGGAGAGGAAGTTGGCACTGGGGTCCCCCTGCAGCTGTTGATGGGGAGGTAGAGACCCCCTCAAAGTGCCATGGTCTGAGGCTGAACTAATTGGCCAAGCAGATGCTAGGCAGCGGCGGGGGGGCGGTGGCTATATCCACCGTCTTTGGTGCAGCTTGCCCTTCCACACCCCAGCCCTCTTGTAAAACCCCAGAGTCCTGGGTTCCAGAGGCCTCCTTTGGAGCAGAGGCCCTGGAAGGGGGTGGGAGAGAGTGCATGGGGAAAGTGTGAAAGCTGATATGCCTGTGTGCCGAGGGACTGCTGGGACAGTGGTGGGAGGTAGCAGGAGAGCGGCTCTCATACATACCCCTCCTTGGGAACCACAGGGGCAGGCGGCCAGGGAGTAGGGTAGGGATGGGGCCCCCCTTCTGTCCCCTGCAGTGTACATGGAGGAAAGGGGCTGCCCAGAGGAGGGGCCAGGGCAGGTGACCATCTGGAGTTCTGGTCGAGGTGATGGTCTCCTCACACCATGGTGGCCTCTAACTGGTGACGGCAGAGGGCCCAGCGCCTCCTCGCTTCTCAAAGAACATGTAGTCCTAAGAGGAGGCCACTGTCAATGGGAGATCCGGCTGGGCCAGCCCAGCTTGGCTGTCACAGGCCAGCTCTAGAACCTCAACCCCCACAACACCTATTCCTGACTTTCCCCTAGCAAGAGGCCAGGAAATGCATAAAGCTTCAAATGACAGCAAAGGACAGGCAGGAGGTGGGGGCAGGGGCAGCCAACTCACAATGAGGAATGTGGCTCCCAGCAGCACAGCCTTCACCCTCACATCCAGGTCCAGCGGGAACTGTAGGCCAAAGTCATCTGCATCTGTGAGGGCTTCTCGGACCAGGCCCCCCCACTGCTTGCTGATGCGGCCCACACTGCGGGATTCATCCCGAGTCTTCACCTGTCATCAGGGAGGGAGAAAGGACCCAGCTGAGGAGGAGGCAGCCAGTCTCACCTGCTCCAGTCTCATTCCCACAGTCGCACGTATGAATTTGCAGGGTCTCCACTCAGTGAATCTTCCCCTCTAATGGTCACCGAGTGATCGCTTTCCTAACTGGTTCCCATCACAGAGTATGACAGCTGGGGAAACTGAGGCACTCTAGATCACGCTGAGTCTATACCCAAAATTAGGATTCAGACTCAGATCTGCTGCTATCGAAAGGCGACGCATGACATAACTGAACATCAGTGGTGGGAGAAATGGAAGCATGACAATCCAACCCCCTTAGGGTATGGCTGTTTGCTAGGTTTGCTCTGGTTCCCAATGCCCCTGCCACCCACAATTGGCACAGCTTGTGCCCTACACAAAGTAACCTGGCCAAAAGGGCAAGGAAAGCTACTGGAATTCTGGCTGTACTTCACCAGTCAAGAAGGCTCCTAGAAGGCTATGTCTACCCCGAAGAGTACCTTTTCTCTAATCTGCAAAGTAGGGGAGGGCCTTGCCCAGCACTGCATGAGAGCCTCATCTAGAGAGGGATACATGCCTATCTACTGTGGAGAGAGGCAGCAGTAAGTAGCCTTTGAGGACCACAATTTCCACTGGCTTCTCTGAGCCACACAGCAACAGGCTCTGCTGATGTGGGTAGTTACTCCCCGTGACTTCCTGGTCCTTTTCCTGTGCTCGTTCTCCAGTGATTAGAACTGCAGTGATTTCCTTTTGTGCCATTCCCATCCCCTTCCTGCACTGTCCTACAGCTCTGGGGCACTTCCTGCCATGGTCCTAAGGGTACAGCCCCAAGTATGGACCATTTATAATTATGCAAAAGGGACACTGGCCCTATGAGAACCCCACAGCCTATACATTCCCATCTGGAGATCACGCAGTTATTATATCTTATTCCCAATTGGTTCTCATCATGGAATCTCCCTCTGGCTACCAAGGTGACTCATTTTTGCAAAGTAACCTTAGGTAGGGTACCTCATTAGAAGCGTTGGAAAGTCTACTGGATTATACCTGTTGTTTCTCCCTTATCTGCACAAGCAATTATCCCTTAAAGAACTCAAGGGTCGGTCAGGTGCGGTGGCTCACGCCTGTAATCCCAGCACTTTGGGAGGCTGAGGTGGGCGGATCACCTGAGGTCAGGAGTTCGAGACCAGCCTGACCAACATGGAGAAACCTCGTCTCTACTAAAAATATAAAATTAGCCAGGCATGGCGGCGCATGCCTGTAATCCTAGCTACTCGGGAGGTTTAGGCAGGAGAATTGCTTGAACCCGGGAGGCAAAGACTGCAGTGAGCTGAGATCATGCCATAGCACTCCCACCTGGGCAACAAGAGCAAGACTCTGTCTCAAAACAAACAAACAAAAAACAAACAAAAAAAGAACTCAAGGGTCTGTGGAGTGCCTTTGTCTTCTAGAAACCAAGGTGCTTCCCAGGCCTCACCTCACTCTGAAATTCTTGCCACTTGGGATCTCTAGCTTCCAGACTGGTGACAGGAATGCACAGTGAGAAGGATATACTGGATTTCGGAATGGCAGGGGCATTTGGATTCTATTTTAGCAGGGCAGGCCACAGGATGTTAACATGTTAAAATCGTGCTTGCTCCAGGGCCTGGGCTCACACACTCATACACAGCAGCCACATGGGCCCGGCCCACACAGACTTAATCGTCCTTCACCCCAAATCCAGGCTGGCCTTAGATTTTTTTTCTGCCCATCTCAGGGCCACTTGTAATAATCAGCATTGCTCCTTAAGATGAAATCCTCGTTGTTATGCTTTTATAAGAGCACAGGGCCATCCTATTTCCAAATGGAGGAATGCTACAAATGCGGTCGGAGTCACAGTGGATTTGGATTGATGAGCTCAGGGTCTTGACCTTAATGTTAACTATCCTGCCTCATGGAAGCATCATCTTGGTTTACGAAGGTCCCAAGAGCCTCTAGTATTCCTGATACCTCAAAGTTGGTGTCTGTGCCACAGCCACAGGTCCAGCAGGGCCCCACCACTCGCAAGACTGTCTGGCGATCGGCATCCTGGATGGAGAACTTGGGGAGGAAGGGATGCCAGGTCTGTAGCACGTGGCCAATGGTGGTGCCTGGTGGAGCCTGTACTTCCATCTGGGAGTGGGAAGCAGACAGGGTCACTGCGGAGGCAGGGGTCCCAGCTCTATCATCTGTCTATTTGGCCCTCACTAAACCTCCCATCCCCACCTGCCCACTCCCACCTGATCCAGGCCTCATCTCAGGTGGACCTCATCATTGTCCCGCCCCACCAAGGCCCGCCCTCCCGGCCCCCTCCCTCCGCCCACCTCCTGGAGGCCACAGGGGCAGCAGCTGCAGCCACAGTGCAGCGGGCGGAGCAAACGCAGCACCTCACGGTCCCCGGGGTCGGCCAGGCGGACACGCAGCGGCCGGCGGGCGCCACAGCACAGACGGGCGCAGCAGTTGCTCTCCTCGGCCGCCTGACCCAGGGGCTGCCCGGCCCCAGAGCGCAGTTCATACCGATTACAGGTCTCCCAGCCTAGGAACGCTGCCCGAGGTGACACGGGGAGACTCGTAGAGCCTCGCGCGCCCAGGAGCCCACCATCCGGGCCACCATCATGAGGTCCAACCTCCCACTCCTTCTACTTACTTTCCACTCGCTCAGCCTTCTGGTGAATCAAAATCTGATCAATCTGGAAAGAGAGGGGCGGCGCGCACATCAGCTGGCCCATCTGGACGCCCAAGTCCCCTCCCAGTCATCCTCCCTCCCTCCTTCCCACTCACCTGCACCAGGAATTCGAGGCCAGAAGGCACCCCTGGCAGTGGCAAGAAGGGGGCAGCAGACCCCAAGGCCACGGGGCCAGGCGAGGGGAAGAGGGCGAAGCCGGGAGCTGGGGCAGGTACCTGGGCGGGCACTGGCGCCTGCCCGGGCCCAGGATGTAGCGCCGGCTCCGGGTACCCAGGGGTGACAGGGTAGGGAGGTGGGGGCGAAGGGGCGTAGCCTTTGGGGGGCAAGTAGCCTGTAAAGCGGTGGGAGCAGGATAGATTAGAAAGGGACTCAAGGCCTCATCCCCTTATTCCTCAGCCCATGGGCCGCGAGGCTTCGGGGGAAACGTGGTGGCAAGAGGCAGAGAAAGATGGGGCAGGGGAGCAGGGTGGAGGTTCCCCGGAAGGAAGGGAGGGGCCCCACCCAGCCAGTCCGAGCACATTCCGGGAGGATGTGTTCAAACCCGGCTCCCAAGTCCGTGGGGGGGATAACGGAGACCCCCAGACTTGCGCGCACTTACCTGCCATGGGAGAAGGGCTGGGGTTTTCGAGATGATGGTGTCTGGGTGGCTTAGTTCTGGAAGCGGAGGCAAACTCGGAGATAGCCAGACAGACACAGAGACAGACACAAAGACGGAGAGGCAGCTGCGCCCGGCGCCGGCCCAGGGTCTCTTGGGCGGCGCCTCTGACTCGGGGAGAAACCCAAGTGTCAGTGGGCGGGACCGGGTACCTGGGACCCTGGATTCCCTCGGGGGCCCCAGAACCGCCCCCTCCCTTTGTTCTCCCATCCTGCGGAGGAGGCTGTGGGCCGACGGCAGGACAGATGGACCCGCGGTCAGACCGACAGCCCCACCCCAAGGGCGGTCTCCCTGACCCCTCTGTGCCCCCGCTCACCTGGAGCCCCCAGAAGAGCCCGGGTGCCTAGCACTCGGCAGCTCACAGGAGCTGGCGGAGGCGGAGGCGGGCCCGAGCTCGGACCCCGGCCCCGCCCCCCGACCCGCCGAGCCCGCCCCCTCCTGGGCGGTGCGTTTGCGCCGGGAGGAAGGCAGCCGTCCGCTGCCCCGGGAAGCCGATCGTGGGCTTTGCTCCTCGGCGTCGCCGACGTTCCCGCCCCTTCCGCTCGGACTGCAGATGCCCAGAGAGTAGGAGCGCCTGGAGAAGGCGGCGGCTGGTCCCGGGCCCCGCGAACGCCGCCAGGCCGGCGGCGTGCGTGCTCAGCGCCCTGGGTGGGAGGCGAGGGCGGCCCGGGCCGCGCTGGCCCCTGGGCTCCTCCTCCCAAGGGCAGTCGGGCCTCGCTGACGCAGCGGAACACCCTTCACACTCACTCATTGGCTTCCAGGACTGGCTCCTGGCTCGCCTTCTGCCTCCCAGGGGCGACCTCGCCGTCTTCTCTCCCTGGCACAGCGGTGACCCACACGGGCACCTCGCAGCGACAGCAGTTTCTGCAGGTGCCCCAGCCACGCGGGTGACAGGCCGCCAAACGGTGTCAGTGAGCGTGCTCAGGCCGCCTAGAGGGCCAGAGGAGGAAGCGCGGTCAGAAAAGACCCCCGAGATGAGTGTCTTCGACTGGATCCTGAGCCAGGACCAGTCCTGCCTTGGGGGCCACTGGCTGAGTGGCGCAAGAGATGAGTTTAGAAACGGAGTGCAGTCCACATACAGGGCGGGTTGTGTGGAAGCTGCGATTTGGCCCCACGAGCAGCGAGGAGTCCACCGAGACATTTTTAGAACAAAGAAGGTCAAATGTGTGTTTTAGAAAGATCGTGGCGGGGCGCGGTGGCTCACGCCTGTAATTCCAGCACTTTGGGAGGCCGAGGTGGGCGGATCACCTGAGGTCAGGAGTTTGAGACCAGCCTGGCCAACATGGCAAAAACCCATCTCTACTAAAAATACAAAAATTAGCCGGGTGTGGTGGCGGGCGCCTGTAGTCCCAGCTATGCAGGAGGCTGAGGTAGGAGAAACTCTTGAACCCGGGAGGCAGAGGTTGCAGTGAGCCGAGATTACGCCATTGCACTCCAGCCTGGGCAACAGAGCGAGACTCCATCTCAAAATAAATAAATAAATAAATAAATATTTATTTAGACATCACCAATAAGGCGAAGGCATCACCAATAAGGCGATAGTTAGGCCGGGCACGGTGGCTCACGCCTGTAATCCCAGCACTTTGGGAGGCCGAGGCAGGCGAATCATGAGGTCAGGAGATGGAGACCATCCTGGCCAATATGGTGAAACCCCGTCTCTACTAAAATACAAAAAAATTAGCCAGGTGTGGTGGCGGGCGCTTGTAGTCCCAGCTACTCGGGAGGCTGAGGCAGGGGAATCGCTTGAACCTGGGAGGCAGAGGTTGTAGTGAGCTGAGATCTTGCCACTGCACTCCAGCCTGGCGACAAAGCAAGACTCCGTCTCAAAAAAAAAAAAGAAAGAAAAGAAAGAAAGAAAGAAAGAAGATGATAGTTGACCCAGAACCTAAAGGAGATGAGGGACTGAGCTGTGCAGATTACTGGGTAAGTGTTTCAGGCAGAGGGAACAGCAAGGGCATAGGTCCTGAGGCAGAAGACCAGTGAGACTGGAATGGAGTTAATGAGGGGAAGGTCAGAGGGGTCACAAGAAGCCAGGTCACGCATGGCCTTTTAGTCCACTGAATTATACCCTGAGATGGGAAATGTTGGAGGGTCTGGACAGAGAAGAGACGTGAGACGTACTGCAGTGGTTCTCCATGTGGAGGTTCCCCCTGTGCCCTAGATGCCACCTGAGGTGAAGGATGGAAATGCAGTGAGAGCACTGGACTGGGAGGAAGGAGCCTACAGACCCAGCCTTGGCTCTGCCACTGGACCTTTGGGTCACTCTGGTTTTTCTGTTTTTTTGAGAGTCTCACTCTGCCACCCAGGCTGGAGTGCAGTGGCGCTATCTTGGCTCACTGCAACCTCCACCTCCCAGGCTCAAGCAATTCTTCTGCCTCAGCCTCCCAAGCAGCCAGGACTACAGCCACCACACCCGGCTAATTTTTGTATTTTTAGTAGAGACAGGGTTTCTGCATGTTGGCCAGGCCGGTCTGGAACTCTTGGCCTCAAGTGATCCTTACACCTTGGCCTCCCAAAGTGTTGGGATTACAGGCATGAGCTACTGCACCCAGCCCCTTTGGGCCACTCTGGAGGTCCCCTCTAAGGGTTTGTTTGTTTGTTTGTTTGTTTGTTTATTGAGACAGGGTCTTGCTCTGTTGCCCAGGCTGGAATACAGTGGCATGATCTCCACTCATTACAACTTCTGTTTCCCAGGATCAAGGCATCCTCCCACCTCAGCCTCCCGAGTACCTGGGACTACAGGCATGGGCCACCATGTCCAGCTAATTTTTGTATTTTTTGTAGAGATGGGGTTTTGCCATGTTGCCCAGGCTGGTCTTCAACTCCTGGGCTCCAACAGTACACCTGCCTCAGCCTCCGAAAGTGCTGAGATTACAGGTGTGGGCCATCACACCCAGCATATTTATTTATTTATTTATGAGACTGAGGTCTTGCTCCGTCACCCAGGAGGGAGTGCAGTGGCACCATCAGAGATCACTGCAGCCTCAAACTCCTAGGTTCGGCCGGGCACAGTGGCTCACATCTCTAATTCCAGTACTTCACATCTCTAATCCCACTCTGCCCAGGCAGGCAGAGCACTGAAGATCAGGAGTTTGAGACCAGCCCGGCCAACACAGTGAAACCCCGTCTCCACTAAAAATACAAAAAAATTGCCCAGGCGTGGTTGGCACATGCCTGTAATCCCAGCTACTCAGGAGGCTGAGGCATGAGAATCGCTTGAACCCGGGAGGCAGAGGCTGCAGCAAGCTGAGATTGCACCACTGCATTCCAGCCTGGGCAACAGAGCGAGACTACATCTCAAACAAAAACAAAACAAAATTCTTAGGCTCAAGCTATCCTCATGCCTGGGGATCCTCAAGCTGGGACTACAGGCACATACTACCACATTATTATTATTTTATTATTATTATTATTATTTTTGAGATGGAGTTTTGCTCTCGTTGCCCAGGCTGGAGTGCAATGGCCTCCCAGGTTTAAGCGATTCTCCTGCCTCAGCCTCCTGAGTAGCTGGGATTACAGGTGCCTGCCACCACACCTAGATAATTTTTGTATTTTTAGTAGAGACAGCGTTTCACCACTTTGGCCAGGCTGTTCTTGAACTCCTGACCTCAGGTCATCCACCTGCCTCGGCCTCCCAAAGTGCTGGGATATTTTTATTTTTTTAGAGACAGCATCTCACTATGTTGCCCAGGCTGCTCTTGAACGCCTGAGCTCTAGCTATTCTCCCACTGTAGCCTCCCAAGTAACTGGGTAGGGGGCTGAAGCAGGAGGATTGCTTGAGCCTAGCAGTTCGAGACTAGCCTAGGCAGCCGACATGGTGAGACCCCATCTCATCTCTTTCTTGAACCTCCTGGGTTCAAGCAATTCTCCTGCCTCAGCCTCCCGAGTAGCTGGGACTACAGGTGCGCACCACCATACCCTGATAATTTTTGTATTTTTAGTAGAGATTGGGTTTCACCATGCCGGACAGGCTGGTCTCGAACTCCTGAACTTGTGATCTGCCCGCCTCGGCCTCCCAAAGTGTTGGGATTACAGGCATGAGCCACCGCACCCGGCAAGACCCCATCTCTACAAAAAAGTAATAATTAGCTAGTCGTGGTAGCTTACACCTGTAGTCCCAGCTACTCGGGAGGCCGAGGTGAGAGAATTGCTTGACCCTGGGAGATGGAGACTGCAGCGAGTCCTTATGGCACCACTGCATTACAGCTGGGTGACAAAGCGAGACCCTGTCTCAAACAAAACGAAAAAGCACAGAGAGGCGGTGGAACAGCTGGAGGGTGGAGGGTGTGCCCCTTCAGATGTGGAAGGCCTCACCAAGGTGATCCTATTGAAGCTAAACTAAGCTTGCACAAAGTGTAGAAGTGTATTCTAGGCACAAAGAATAACTGCAAAACAGGCTGAAAAGAGCAGCTCAAAATCTTGAGGCAGAAGAAAATGTGGTGGGTTGGCAATGTGGATGCCATGTAGTGACAAAGAATCACAAAGCCCGGATGGCCAGTGCAGGCCTTGGAGACAGTGGTATGGCACTTGGAATCTATTTGCAGTGCAGTAGTAAGTAAGTCATTGAAAAGTTTAAGTCACTCTTTTTTTTTTTTTTGAGATGGGGTCTTGCTGTGTTGCCCAGGCTGGAGTATAGTGGCTATTCACAGGCTTGATCTTAGCACACTAGTCTCAAACTCCTAACCTCAAGCAATCCTTCTGCCTCAGCCTCCTGAGTAGGTGAGACTATAGGCACACACCACCGCACCCAGCTATCATCATTTTTAATTTCTATTTTTGTGTATGCTTTATATAGTACAATCTGTATAATATATTGAAGGCATACTTAATTTTTCTGAAGGTATGCATTTTTTTCTTTTTTGAGACAGGTCTTGCTCTGTTGCCCAGGCTGGAGAGCAGTGACACGATCTTGGCTCACTGCAACCTCCGCCTCCTGGGTTCAAGCGATCCTCGTGCCTCAGACACCCAAGTAGTTGGGATTACAAGCACCATGCACCACCACGCCAGCTAATTTGTGTATTTTTAGTAGAGACGGCATTTCACCATGTTGGCCAGGCTCGTCTCGAACTCCTGGACTCATGTTATCCACCTGCCTCAGCCTCCCAGGATTACAGGTGCTGGGACTACAGGCGTGAGCTGCTGCGACTGGCCTGAAGGTATGCTTTTTTTTTTTTTTTTTTTTTTTTTTTTTGAGACAGAGTCTTACTCTGTCGCCTGGGCTGGAGTGGTGCAATGACATGATCTTGGCTCACTGCAACCTCCGCCTCCTGGGTTCAAGCGATTCTCCTGCCTCAGCCTCCCGAGTAGCTGGGATTACAGGCACCCACCACTACGCCCAGCTAATTTTTTAAATTTTTAGTAGAGACAGGGTTTCACCATGTTGCCCAGCCTGGTCTCAAACTCCTGACCTCTTGATTTGCATGCCTCAGCCTCCCAAAGTGCTGGGATTACAGGTGTGAGCCACTGTGCCCTGCCGGTATGCATTTTTAAAAGTGTGCAGATTTTTTCTCTAATGAGAAGATTTTAGGTAATTTCATCTCATTCCGTATCTCTAGTTACAATCTGCATGCTTTTAATTGCAGAATTTCTATCACCAACACTAGTCTCTACTGAGCTCCCGACTCCTGTAACAGCAGCTTTCCAGGCTTCCCTGAAGCAAGAGAGTGTGTTAGAGACCTGAAGGAATTCCTAGGGGCTGGCCTGAGGATTGTGAGAAGGATGACAGGGCCAAATGGTGGAGGGCCTTGTGCGGAGATGTTGTACTGTCTTCTGAGGGCAAAGGGGAGCCAATGAAGCATGTATATCCAGGGAGATGGCATAATTTGAGGTACACTCGTAGATCACAATATTTCTTCATTTTAAAGATGAGTCAGAGGCCAGGCACAGTGGCTCATGTCTGTAATCCCAGCACTTTGGGAGGCCGAGGCGGGCGGATCACCTGAGGTCGCGAGTTTGAGATTAGCCTGACCAGCATGAAGAAACCCTGTCTCTACTAAAAATACAAAATTTGCCGGGCATGGTGGCGCATGCCTGTAATTCCAGCTACTTGGGAGGCTGATTCAGGAAAATTGCTCGAACCCAGGAGGCGGACATTGTAGTGAGCCGAGATCGCACCATTGCACTCCAGCCTGGGCAACCAGCGAAACTCTGACTCAAAAAAAAAAAAAAAAAAAAAAAAGATGAGTCAGGAACCAGACATGTGTTCCTCCAAACTCAGCCTCCCGAGTAGCTGGGCCTGCAGGCTACAGGCACAAGCCACTACACCTGGCTATTTTTTTTTTTTTTTTTTTTTGAGACGGAGTCTGGCTCTGTCGCCCAGGCTGGAGTGCAGTGGCGCCATCGCGGCTCACTGCAAGCTCCGCCTCCCGGGTTCACGCCATTCTCCTGCCTCAGCCTCCCGAGTAGCTGGGACCACAGGTTCCCACCACCATGCCCGGCTAATTTTTTTGTATTTTTAGTAGAGACAGGGGTTTCACTGTGTTAGCCAGGATGGTCTCGATCTCCTGACCTCGTGATCCACCCGCCTCAGCCTCCCAAAGTGCTGGGATTACAGGCATGAGCCACCGCACCTGGCCATGGCTATTTATTTTTATTTTTATTTTTATTTATTCATTTATTTATTTTTTGAGACGGAGTCTCGCTCTGTCGCCCAGGCTGGAGTGCAGTGGCACTATCTCGGCTCACTGCAAGCTCCGCCTCCTGGGTTCATGCCATTCTCCTGCCTCAGCCTCATGCCATTCTCCTGCCTCAGCCTCCCGAGTAGCTGGGACTACAGGCGCCCGGCACCACGCCCAGCTAATTTTTTTTTGTATTTTCAGGAGAGACGGGGTTTCACCGTGTTAGCCAGGATAGTGTCGATCTCCTGACCTTGTGATCCGCCCACCTCGGCCTCCCAAAGTGCTAGGATTACAGGCGTGAGCCACCACGCCTCGCTATTTTTTTATTTTTGTAAAGACAGGGGTCTCCCTGTGTTATCCAGGCTGGTCTCGAACTCCTGGGCTCGAGCAATGTTCCCACGTCCGCCTTCCAAAATGTTGGGATCACAGGCTTGAGCCATCGCACAGGGTCCTCTCTGTTCCTTTCCTTTCAGCATGCAGCACAATTTGTAATGATACATGTTTTGCAAATTTTATAAATGTTTAGTTATTTCAGGTCCATTTCCACTACTAGATGGGAAACTCCTTGAGGGAGGGGATATCTGTCTCCCTCAGGGTTGATCTTCCTTGTAACGTGTCTGACGCATGATCAACACTGGTTTAATAAATACTGTGCCTGCCAGGAGCAGTGGCTCACACCTGTAATGCCAGCACTTTGGAAGGCTGAGGCAGGTGGATCACTTGAGGTCGGGAGTTTGAGACCAGCCTGGCCAACATGGCAAAACCCCGTCTCTACTAAAAATACAAAAATTAGCCGGGCGCGGTTGCGGGCGCCTGTAATCCCAGCTACTCGGGAGGCTGAGGCAGGAGAATCACTTGAACCCGGGAGGCGGAGGTTGCAGTGAGCTGAGATCGTGCCACTGCACTCCTGCCTGGGTAACAGGGCAAGACTGCGTCACAATAAATAAATACTGTCCCCACTAAATATCTTCCAGTTCTCTACATGCTGTGACTGCCACTCCAGCCTGTCCTGCCACCTTTTCTCACTCCTTTCCTACCTAACTCAAACTCAGCCCACATTGAAGACTCCTGCTTCTCCAAACCCCTCCCCTCTCCATCTTGTTCTTTGTTCATTGTTTCTTCCATACAATAGAGCTCCTTTAAGGATCATCTCAAGCATTGTGACACATTTTCTGATCCCCAATACATGATCTGTCCCTGCTTTGAACCCCAAAGTATTTTGTAACTAATGACACTCCTATCCTGCCTTGCCTTAATCCTCACTTCTAGAGTAAGTGGGTGCTGATAACAACAGGGCTGAAAACCATGACCCTATAGTAATTTTTTAAAATCCCAGTACTTTGGGAGGCTGAGGCGGGTGAATTGCTTGAGGTCAGGAGTTCAAGACCAGCTTCGCCAATATGGTGAAACCCCATCTCTACTAAAAATACAAAAATTAGCCAGGCATGGTGGCATGCACCTATAATCTCAGCTACTTGGGAGGCTGAGGCAGGAGAATCACTTGAACTCAGGAGGTGGAGGTTGCAGTGAACCAAAATCGCACCACTGCACTCCAGCCTGGGCAACAGAGTGAAACTCTGTCTCAAAAAAATAAAAATAAAAATAAAAACAGGCCGGGCGTGGTGGCTCATACCTGTAATCACAGCACTTTGGGAGGCCAAGGCAGGCGGATCACCTGAGGTCGGGAGTTCAAAACCAGCCTTGCCAACATGGCACAACCCCGTGTCTACTAAAAATACAAAAAATTAGTTGGGCATGGTGGCAGGCGCCTGTAATCCCAGCTATTCAGGAGGCCGAGGCAGGAGAATCGCTTGAACCTGGGAGGCAGAGGTTGCAGTGAGCCGAGGTCGCGCCACTGTATTCCAGCCTGGGCGACAGAGCAAGACTCCATCTCAAAATAATAATAATAATAATAATAAAATTAAAAACCTAGTATGCATCAGAACCACAAGATGAGCTTATTAAAATACAGATTCTCAGGCCCGAAAGAGTGCTTCAGTAGGAATCTGTGTTATTTCAAGCATTCTTTATGACTTTGATGCCCACCAGGGTAAGAACATTATAATAAGTTAACTTAAAGTGACCAGAATCCCCAGACCTAAGGCTCACTGATTAAGTCTTAGGAAATGGAGGGAGTTCAGAGGTTGAATCCCCACCCTTCGTCCTCCAAGAGGTTAGATGAACAAAGACTCCAAAGTTTATTTGCCTTTCCTTTTTAATCCTCTTCTTACTCCAACTCTTTAAAAAAAAAACTGCCCAGAAAACCCAGTAATTAAGCAAAAGGGAGCTCAAAGAGCCAAGGCAAGCCAGCCCAAGAGTAGCAGGGTCCCTCCCGCAGGGGCCAAAGTCTGGATGCTGGGGTCTCCACTCAGAGCCTGGTAGTAAAAGCTGGTGCAGAATAAGGTCGTTCCGGAAGCTAGCAATAACCCAGCCTGAAGGAGACACAGCACAGAAAACAGGATTGTTAAGAACAGGGCAGGCTGAGAGGGAGTGTGTGGGGCTTGGTCAGGGTTAGGCGCAGGGAAAGATTACCCAGAGTGGCTTTCTGCAATGGGGCACCCCTAACAGGGCCAGGCTGTGTAAGAAGTGGTGTTTGTTGGCCTTGTCAAACAGCTGTAAGAAAAACAGAAACGAAGGGATGTCGTAGGCAATACAGGTACTGAGATCCCCTGATGACACAAGGGACCAAAGTTCCTTCCCCCACCCCACCCTTGAAGTCCCAGCTTGATCCCAGGCCTTTGGCTTACAGAGCCTTTGGCCTTTGCTGCTCCAGAGATCCGCGGCTCGCCCCACCCTCTCCCCGCCCACTTCCCCCAGGGACCCCAGACTTTGTGCCTTCGTAGACCCACGAGTCAGGGAGCCCCAGCGCAGTTACTTCACCTCCTTCCCGTAGGCATCTGGGAATTGGGCGCCTGTGGAGAAAAGAAGCAAAGGTTAGCGGTCCTAGTGCCAGCCCTGACCGCCCCCAATCCGGGGGGACCCAGGTGGACATTGGCGAGAAAGGGCACCCCCCCCCCCGCCCCAGGAAGCTTCCGATTGGTGGGAACACGCTCGGGCAGTACTGGGAACCAATTGGACCCAGCTGGGGGACTTTAAAAGGTTTAGGGCTCCGCGGACTGTCTGATAAACGAGAGGCCGGGCACCTCCCATAGGTTACGCCCTTGCAGCAGACCCCAGAGGACGCCCCAAGTACAGTCCCATCTTCGTCCCCAGCCCCCTGACCGTGCGCCCCGTAGGAAGCGAAGCCTAAGGCCGCAGCTCCGGACAAGGCGCCCAAGCGGCGGAAAGCTGCAGCTGGCCCGGCCATAGCTGTAGAACAGGACGCACCGGACCAACGCCGCCCAGGCCACCCAAGAGGCCAGCCAATCCCGACCGCCCATGCAAATAAGGTTCACAGGCGCCCAATCCGGGCCGTGTTCATTTCAGCATTGCGCTCTTCACCCGCCTTTGTAAAACCGCTGCAGAGTGGCGAAGACGTCTGGCGGGCGGAGAAACCAGCACCAATTAGGAACAGAGGAGCTAAGCAGTGGGGGGGCGGGGTTGAGGGCGGGACTAGGGGGATTTGCGTCAAGGATTGGCCCACTTTCCAAGTTGATCGCCTCTTCGAACCCCCCACCCCCATGCTCCGGCCAATTTCCAAAGATCCCGGTCTTCTCTCAAAGTTCCGCCCCTTTTTCCACAGGCTCCTCCTGTTCAGCTTCAAATCAAACCCACTACCAAAAAGAGGCGGCCCGAAAGATAGCAAAGCCCCACCTATTGCCAGTAAACCCCGCCCACTGCACAAATGGCCCCTCCCCCATGTCTGAAGGCTCCGCCTTCTTTGTATGATGCCCCGCCCCCTGTAGTTAAGATATTCTCCCCCCCGCCAGCCCTCCGAGACCGCGAGAGCCCCGAGGGTGGGAGATCCGGGGGAATGTCTCCACCCTGCCCTGGCCCGCTACGTCCATCTGTCCGTCTGTCCGCTCCCGCCTCTTCCCACCATCTCCAATCCCCCCATTCTCCGGAGGGCGGGCGGGCAGGCGGGTGCGAGCGGGGGGTGCGAGCGGGGGGTGTGCGCCGCTCTCTCGGCAGGGGGCGGGGGAGGCGGCCGCGCGGTGACGCGCGGGGCTGCTGCGGCTGCTCCGCCGGCGGATCATCACTCTCGGGCTGGGATGGACGCGGGGCGGGCCGGCCCTGGCGCGCGGAGCCAGGAGTCCGGGCCTCCCGGCTGCTGAGCGTCCCTCGAAGCCTCCCCTCACCCCCGCCTTCCCTCCTAGGATCCGCGCTGACCCCCGCCCCGGGGCTCTGGACTCGGCTCCCGCCCTCCTCTGACTCCCCGGACCTCCCCCTCACGCCCGCCCTCGGGATCGACTAGATCCCTCCCCCTCCCCGAGGATTCCGGCTGGATCCCTGCCCCTGCACCGCGGATCCTGCGCTCCCGGGCCCCGGGCCCCTGGGGATTAACGTGGACTCCTCCTCCAGCACCCGATCCTTAGGATCCTCCGCCTGGACCGCCTTCTGGTCCCTCGAAGCCGGCCCACGGAACCAGCGGATCCTCAATCTAGTCCTGTCCCGTTGCCCCCTCCTTTCTCTATCGTCCCTACTGCGGGGTTCCCTGTTCTCGGGCTCCCCCTGATCCCATCCCCTAGCTCTCCTTTTCCCGGGGATCGACTGGATCCCGGCCCCGCCCCCCGGGGCTGGGGCGATCCCCCTCCCCCGCCGGGTGAGGCGCTGCGGGCGGGGGCTGGGCCTGCGGGGCCGCGGGGGCTCAGAGGCCGCCGCCCCCTCCCGAAGGCCTTTCGCCCCCCACTCGGAGCCCTGGATGGAGGCACCACGGCCCCAGGGCTGAGCCAGGTAGGACCTAAGCCGGGTCGGTGGAGGGGGCTGCGTGGCGGTCCACTGGGGTCTCCCTCTCCCCATCTCCCTCCCTGCGCCTGGTTTCCCCCAGCCTGCTCTGTCTGCGTGTCTCCGCCTAGGGATGCTCTCGCCGTGTCTCTGCGTCTTGGTCTCTTTGTCTCTGCCTCTCTCCAGTCCATGAATGATCCTTTGAATGGGCCCACAGACCCCGTGTGTTCCCATCTCCCCCTCCCCCTCCTTCTCCCCTTCCCAGCCAAGCCATTTTCACCACTGCAGGAAGGGGGGGCCTGCGGCCTGAGCCCCCGTCCCTCAACTCTCCCCGGCTGGGGGAGTCAGGCCTGGGCAGGAATGGAGAGAGAAGGCAGAGGGATAGGGAGAAGGAGGAGGGAGCAAGATGTGGCAGACAGAGATGAGGAGAGAAAATGGGGGAGACAGTGATGGGGAAAGACAGGAGAGAGAGACAGAAGGCTTAAGGGGGAAATTTGGGGAAGGCATTTGGAGAGAGAGAAAGAAATGAGAAACACCAAGGAGAGAGATACAGAAGAGAAAGATGTAAAAAGACCGAGGGTGAGAGACTGAAGGCAAGAGCTGGGGCAAGCTGGAAGAGGCCCACAAAAGATGCTCCCAGGGAGCACTACGGAGAGGAGAGAGATGGGGGGGCCTCCAGTGGGAGGGAAGGAGGGAGCGGAGCTGGTGGGAGGAGGCCAGGGGCCCAGAGTACCCTCAAGAGGAGAGGGTGACTGAGGCAGATCTTGTTGTGGGGAGGGGGAGGGGGCAGCAAGGCCATGGTAGCTGAGCCCAGTCTGGCACAGGAAAAGGAGATCCTGGGGGAATCAGCCCCGAGCCACCTCCAGGTGATGGAGGAATAGAGGAGCCTTAGAGAAGCTGAAAGGCAGGGGGCATGACTGGGTGTGTGTGGTAAGGATTCCTGTGTCCTCATCTCTGGAATAAATTGACACCTGCAGAGAGCCACCCGCGGGCTGGCGCCTGGCTCTGAAAACCCCGCGTCAGCAAACAGCTCTGGCGGCTGGTGGGGGGGCGGGGGGGGGGCTTGCCGAAATGACCTGGGTGTCTGCCCCTCCGGTCTGATCTTCTCCCTTGGCTGGCCCCTGCTGCCCTGAGCACCCAGGCATCAGAGCAGCAACTGTAGGGGGGGTGGCAAGGGGAAGGGTAGGTGAATGGATGGGTTGGGATGGGAAGAGAAGAAAGCTCAGTGTTGCCCCCAGGACATGGGTCACAATGGCTTGCAAAGATGAAAAGGTGGTGGGGTCCAAGGTTGCTTGAAATTGCTGGAGGGGGGCAGTCAGTAGGCTCCTGTGATGTCTCTTCAAGCCCACCTCAGCACCCCCTCTCCCAAGCCAGAGGCCTGGTCACTAAGGCTAGGCTTTGATTGGCCAACAGGCAGGGCTTTTAGCGTTCTTGGTGCCCCCAATCTCCCCCTCCTCTCAACATATATACTTCTTCCTCTATGTTAAGGTTGGGGGGAACTCTTGCATTCTGACTCACGCCTTTGCCCTCCCCTTCATGCCCTGAATGGACCACCAAACCAAGCCAGCCCCTTCCCGTCTTCCTCCAGAACCCCCCTCCAGGGTTAAAGCTGCAGCCCGTTGCCGAGGTAACATTGCGGGGCAGCATCCCGTCACCCGGCAACCGGCTGCAGGATCACGCATCTGTCCCTGGATTTGCCCCTCCAGCGTCCCCTCCCTACTCTAACCCCAGCCTCAAGGTACCCCAACTTCTGACGGAGGAAATGGAGAGAGTCTGGGGAGAGAGGGGTCGCAGGCAGCACAAATCCTTAGCGAATGGTGTGTTGAAGTGGGGATAAGGTGCTAGGTTTGTGCAGTCCCAAGAAAGGCCTGAGTCTGGCCTGGGGTGGGGGTTCAGCGCCATGAAATTACAGCTCAGGAGTAATTAACACATATAAACAAACCTGCCTCTTCCAGCTAATTAATGACTTGGTATTTTTGTTTTCTCTTCCTTGTCTACCTCATTCCCTCCCAGGGAGGTGGGAGCTGGGACTCCTGAGTCCCTGAGGAGAACCTGCCTGGGAGGGATACATCAGCTGGAAGGGAGCATGCTGGGTCTGGAGAGCTGACCCGCCTCTCCTCTGGCTGGGTCCTGGACTTGAACCACATCTGGGCCCCACCCCCAACCTAGGCGTCTGCTGAGGGGAGAAGGGCTGCTGGGTGGGAGTGGGGAGGTGTCAGGGGGCCTGTGGGTGGGAGAAGGGGGCAACTTGGTCTGAATTCCAGGTCACTAACCACTTGTCTCTTCTGTTTCCCCATTCCTTTCTGTCTGCCCCATCCAATTTCCCTTGCCCTCTTCCACCTCTGTATTTTTCTGTCTGTCCGTCTGTCTGTATCCTGCCTCCCTGCCCCTCTCGCTCCACCCCCCGCAGGTCGGGCCTGCCTTCACCTTCTCCCATTTCCTTCCCCTTCCCCACCCCGTGCCCCCTCCATGGAGAGGAACAGACCCCTTCTCTGTCCAGTCTAACCCAGGTCCCTCCCCAACCCCCTCCTCCCTCCTTTCCCCCCGCCCCTCCTCCCTCCTGGGGCGAGGGGGGCCTCCCTCCCTCTCCCCCCCTTCTCTCTCTCTCCGAGGGGGGGGGGTCCCAGGGAGGGAGGGGGGGTCCCCCGATCAGCATGTGGCTCCTGGCGCTGTGTCTGGTGGGGCTGGCGGGGGCTCAACGCGGGGGAGGGGGTCCCGGCGGCGGCGCCCCGGGCGGCCCCGGCCTGGGCCTCGGCAGCCTCGGCGAGGAGCGCTTCCCGGTGGTGAACACGGCCTACGGGCGAGTGCGCGGTGTGCGGCGCGAGCTCAACAACGAGATCCTGGGCCCCGTCGTGCAGTTCTTGGGCGTGCCCTACGCCACGCCGCCCCTGGGCGCCCGCCGCTTCCAGCCGCCTGAGGCGCCCGCCTCGTGGCCCGGCGTGCGCAACGCCACCACCCTGCCGCCCGCCTGCCCGCAGAACCTGCACGGGGCGCTGCCCGCCATCATGCTGCCTGTGTGGTTCACCGACAACTTGGAGGCGGCCGCCACCTACGTGCAGAACCAGAGCGAGGACTGCCTGTACCTCAACCTCTACGTGCCCACCGAGGACGGTAAGGGCGCGGGCACAAAGCCGGGCACCCCGTGGACACAGCCCACAAACGCACATGCAGACCCTCAGGCACTGGCACCGCTCTAGGGCTCAGAGCTGGGCCTTTGTGGGGGCAGTGAGGGACGGAGTGTCCCTGCAACCTCTACGTGCCCCCTGAGGATTGTAAGGGTGCCTCCAGGCAGTCCCAGGCACACACTCTGCAGACAGCCTCTCCATAAGTTCTTTACGCCCATGGGGGGCCATGGTAGGGATGGCAGGCACTGGACTAGGCTCACCCACTGTCTCCCCAAAGAGGCACAGTCTGCCAGCTAATCTCAACCTGGCCACGGAGGGGGAATCAGGTGATCCATCCTCTGCTCAGACACCCACTCCAACCTTGCCCCGCCTCCCGCCGCCAGACCTGGGCTTGTTCCTGGCAGAATACCCAGGTTAGCTACATCTGCACCCCAAGGACAACGCAGGCTCTCCCTCTCCCCCTGGCTGGTGAGGGCTGCCTTCCATCTATCACATCATG
The DNA here is from genome assembly GCF_000001405.40 of Homo sapiens. NCBI lineage: Eukaryota > Metazoa > Chordata > Mammalia > Primates > Hominidae > Homo > Homo sapiens. The sequence goes on from NW_016107299.1 coordinate 29,683, forward strand.
TCCAGAGCCCCTTGCCTGAGCTGAGCACCTTGGCAGTGGTACCGATGTCCTTCTCTTCTCCCTTGACCCCTGTACGCCCCTGAAGGATCAGGGAAGCTCCTTGCTGAGGGCCAGCACAGCCCACCCGTCTTCCCTGGGGCTCTTGAATTTCTGTTCTTAATGAACTCTTGTTCACTACAGGACTGCTCATAGCCCCTGGCACATTCCTTCTGGACAGTTCTCCACCCTCCATCCTCAGCACTCCAAGACTAATCAGAACACCTTCCAGAGTGTGAACAGGGTGCAATAGGTGGATTCCAGCCATCTCAGCAGACCAGCCTCACAAACACCCCCCTGCACCCCGCATGGCTCTTCTGACACCCATCTTACCACTCCAAAACATGGCAGCGTCTGCGTATAGACCATCCGCTGCCACCACGCTTCCCACAGTCCATGTTTCCAGCAACCTTACACATAGGCCTGGTACCCAGGAGCTCCTAATGTACCCTGTACATACCCAGCACCTCCACGGCATGTGCTCAAGTCCCAAAACAGATGGCAAATCCCAACTACTCCACAATTAAATCATCACCCAACCAACCTGTACACTGACCTTGTGCTCCAGCACCCCACAATCACAATTCCCAGTACTTTCATATCACACACACCCCCAGTACATCTCTGAAACTATGTACCATGTCACCCACACACACCTGTGCTCCCCAGCATCCCTGGATATAGATCACGTGCCTTAAGAACATCCACACATCCAGTAACCTGCGCGCCTGGGCCGTGTGCTCAGCAGGCCCCTCACATCACAGTCCCCAACATCCCCAACACTCCTCAATCATTGTTTACCCCACTCCTACCTAGAGATCATCTGCACCGGACCTCAGGTGGTGAAAACACATCCGGCAAGCTTGCACCCTACTCACCAAACAAGTACTCCAACACCATGCCCCCTGCACTCAGAATCCCCCCCTGCCAAACACGGAACATCTCATGCACCTCCACCCACCCATGTCCATCCCAATACCTCGCAAATGGACCATTCACCCTGTATCCCCCATCCCAGCCATACCCCTCTCCATATAAACCACGCCTCCCCACAACCCATACACACAATGCACAGAGCGTCATCTACTCTAATCCTATTCAAATTTGAAGCACCCTAGTTCCCCATAAGCCATTTATCCCAGTACATGCCCCACGTGCCCCCCAGTACAATGCCCTCCACAGAAGAGCTGTGCACACCACACTCCTCTGCCATCCCAGCGCCTGCCCCATCATGAGTCCTTCACCTCAGCACCTCCATGTGGGCTGCCCATCCCAGCACTCCCTACTCTCACACAGGCTCTGCACACCCCAGGGCCCCCTCATGGGTGCTGTCTCGTCACCTTCCATGTGAAACATCCACCCAGCACTTGTCACCAATGGACTGTCCACCCCAACACCTCCACACAGTTGTCCACCCCTGCCCCCACACCACCCTTGCCCACACCTTCTGTATTTTTAGCCACTGCTGATTGCAGACCTGCCTGGGGCCTGACACATTCAGGTGATCTCACTGAATCTTCACACCAGCTCTGGGAGGAAGAGGTTGACTCAGGCGCGCGCGCGCACACACACACGCGCTTCATAGACTCACGTGCACACGTGCCTTGCTCACTTTGTCCCCACCCCATCCTCTCACAAAGAAGAGGCCCTGTTCCCAGCGGGTCCCCATGGGGCCATCACTGCCACTTAGGAGACGCCTTCCAGAGCTTGCCTTGGCCTTGACCCATCCTTGGCCTTGACCCACGTGCCAGTCCCTGTGCCATTGAGGAAAAACCAATCAGCCTCGGGGAACCCCCAGGCCTCTGGGCTCCAGCTCGCCCCTGACCAACCCCGTAATCTGGAAGAAGCCCTGACACTGGGCGAACCTGGTGCTCCCGGTACCTGCTGGCACCTGTGTGCCAGGCTGGCTCAGGGCACTGTGTTCCTCGTTCCCTATCTGTGGACTGAACCACCCGCTCGGCCGTTGGGGAAGGGGTGCTTTTTGGCAGTGGAGCAGGGGCAGGGGAGGCAGCGGCTGGTGGCCCTGGTGGGAAATTCACCATTTTGGGGGGAGGAGAGGAAGCCTGGGTAAGGGACGAGGTTGGGGGGAGTGCGGAGGGTTGAGCTGGAGCGGAGGGCAAGACCTGATGACCCCCTTCCCTGCTTTGCCCACACTGGGGAGCTGGGGTGAGAAGCCAGGCCTGTGAGTGTGGATAGACGAGAAGTGCTGGTGGTGAGGCTGGGTAGCGGGCGGGCAGCCCCAGCTGACCTTCCCATAGCCCTCCAGTGGGGAGCGGAAGGCTTCTGGGGCTGAGCTGTGGGGCAGGCTGCCCCCCAACCCTGTCCTGCTCGCTGCCCTGCAGAGTGGTCCAGAGGGAAGCAGAGTCTTTTCTGCGGCAGTCTCTCCTCCCTACAGCCTTGTGGGGGGCGGCAGGCAGGTGCTTCGCTGGCCCTGAAGGGGGCCTTCTGAGAGGTGGCCTGGGTGGCAAGCTGGCCTTGGTCTCCCAGGGGCTCTGGGTGGGCTTCCCCTCCCCTCCCACCCCACCTCTAACACTGTTTCATTTCCAGCAATTAGCAAACACATCGACAAGCCAAAACCTTTCCAGCCAAGTCGATATGTCTTAAGACAGGCCTCAGCCCACTCAGGCACCCCACCCCCCCAAAACCAGCCTTTTCTTTGGGGCATGACTTTTTCTGGGGAGGGGAACAAAATTGGGTTGTAGAAACGTTTTTCTCTTTTCTTGGTTTCTTTTTCTTGCAAACAAATTTTGCTTTTTTTTGGCTTCTTTTTTCTGCCTCCCCCACCCTCCCCTTTTCTGCTTTCTCTCCTCCCCTCCCCATCCACCACCTCCCCCCGACCCCCATCTTTCCCCACAAAATTGTCCTTTTTTCTCTGTTTTGTGTTCCCGGTCTTAGGTCCGCTCACAAAAAAACGTGACGAGGCGACGCTCAATCCGCCAGACACAGGTAGATTTAAAAATCCCGCTGCTGCATGTGGTTGCTTATAAGAGGACATTCATGGCCCTGCCCCTCACTAAATGTCCCCACAGCCCTCAAGGCCCCTCAGTCGTTCTCCCAACTAAAATGAAAAAGAAAAGAAAAGAAAAATGTTTAATAATTGGAAAAAAGAATTATGAAAACTTCAAACGAAATTTGAACAATGTTGGACCCAGTAGAAAACCTGCCAGAAAAGCTAAACATGGTGAAAATAAGCTGAAAAACAAAAAGAAATTGGAATGTCAGAAAAATAAAATTCAAAAGAATTGGTTAAAATGTTTAGAATTTGAAAGAAATCTGGACAGTTTTGAAACTTGTGAAATGTAACATTTGAAAAAACCAATTTGAAATTGGAACAAAACAACAGTTCAAAAAAAATTTAAAAGTTGGCAAATTGATGACACCATTGAAACATCAGAAGCCTGTCGCAATTTCCAAAAGCCTGTCAGACACAGAAAACGCAAACATTCGAAGTGAATTAAAGAATTTGACAATTTTTTAAAACAGGGCCCAATATCTTGAAGTTTCACCACAAAATTTTGAAAAAAAAATGCAAAGAATTTTTTTCTTTTTTTCTTTTTTCCCAAAATGGATCTTTTTGTTTTTTCTTTTCTTGTTGAATCTGCCCCGAGAGCTTCTTGCTTTTTGGTTGTTTTTTTCTTTCTTTCTTTCTTTCTTCTTTCTTGATCCTGTTTTTGTTGTTGGTTTTGAATTCTTGTCGCCCCAGCCCCTCTTCCTGCTCCTTCCCTTTCTGACCCCTCCTCCCCTCACACTGGGAGAGGGGTGGGGTGAGGATGGGAGAACTGAGGACAATTAGGACAGGACCTTGGAGGGAAGGAGATTCCGGCCTGAAAGTGCTGGGAGGTCACTTGAGGTTCAGGAGCAAAGGAGAGGACAGGATTTGAGGAGAACCCAGCGAGGGTGCTGCCCACATAGAAGCTCTGGCGGAAGCAGTCAGGAGCATGGGGGCTGCACAGGGGGTCTTAGGGATGGGAGGCAGGAAGCTGTCTGTGAGGTCAAGGAGAATGTCTTAGTGACCTGCAGGTTGACCTTCTGGCAGGAGGGATGTTTCTACCAGGATGAGGGAGGTGGGCAGAGATGCTGGGGACCAGCTGTGGAGGCCCAGGCCTGGCTTTGGTTTGCTGAGTATCCAGGCTAGCAGGGAGGGCCAGTGTCAAGAAAGAGGAGGGCCTGTGGGCCAGGGGTGACCCCAGCCCTAGCACTATGGCTGAATCATGGGGAGCTGCAGGGGAGGATACTGTAGCCTCGGGGACCCTGGCAAGCACTCTCAGACTCCCACATCCTCTGGAATTAGTCACCCTTCAGTCCAATCTGGAGCAACTCAAGGGCCTGATCACATGTGGCAGTGATCAGGGGATCCTCAGGGGGTATGGCGGGAAGGAGCCCAGTGCAGAACCCAGGGCTCAGGCCAGTTTGGGGGTGTCCAAAACTAAGCTGCACCCTGGCTTCATTAAGCAGGCTCTTCCTCCTCCTGCCACAGTAATTAGGCTGGGGGTTGCCATGGTGACTGGGGAGGTGACCTAGAAAGGAATTAGGGCGGGGAGGAGACCAAGCCCCAGGGACCCTAGGCCTGGCACCCCTCACCCACAGACCAGGGACCCTAGGCCTGGCACCCCTCACCCACCGACCAGGGTGCCATGTGGAGTGGAGGCCCAAGGCCTGAGTCGGAGGAGACACCAGGACCCTCCCAGCAGCTCCAGCTCCAGTTCTAGCCTCGGGAGCTTGCTCTTCCCAGGGACAGGAAGGAGATGTGCTGTGTGCGGGGGTGCTGGGGGTTCCCTGGATCCAGCAGATGCCCTAAGGAGGGCCACTGCCCACCCCCAGCCTCTACGGGGTTTCTTGGAAAGTCTGCATTGGAGAAGTGCCGCGGGGAAGGCTGGCAGAGGGTGGGGAGGGAATGTCTGCCAGGGCTAGCTGGGGAGGGAGGAGGGGAATCCGGTCTTGCCCCCCAGGGATGGGAGTGACATGTCCCCTGAGCTCCAGGCCAGTCCTCAGCAGGCCTGGGAGCTGGGCGCTGCTGCTTCCGGTCTGACTGTGTCCTTGTCCCTGACCCCCTGGCCCACCTGCCCACCCCTCCCCACACAGATATCCGTGACCCTGGGAAGAAGCCTGTGATGCTGTTTCTCCATGGCGGCTCCTACATGGAGGGGACCGGAAACATGTTCGATGGCTCAGTCCTGGCTGCCTATGGCAACGTCATTGTAGCCACGCTCAACTACCGTCTTGGGGTGCTCGGTGAGGGTGGGCAGCCAACTCTGGGGCTCGGGGGAGTCTGGGAGGTGGGCCTGGTGGGCAGGGTTCCTCCACATCCAGCAGAATGGCTTCTGGGCTGGACTGAGCTGCCCAGAAAGGGGGCAGGGGCGCTGTGACACCTCCAGGGAGCCCTCTTCTTCTCTACTCCCAGGTTTTCTCAGCACCGGGGACCAGGCTGCAAAAGGCAACTATGGGCTCCTGGACCAGATCCAGGCCCTGCGCTGGCTCAGTGAAAACATCGCCCACTTTGGGGGCGACCCCGAGCGTATCACCATCTTTGGTTCCGGGGCAGGGGCCTCCTGCGTCAACCTTCTGATCCTCTCCCACCATTCAGAAGGTACCAGCAGTGTCCCAGCCTGTTCCACCCTTCCCAACCCTGCCAACTCCCCCCTCTCCTTCAGGCCGGTACTCACAGCCTGGCCTGAGGTCTGCCTGTCCCGCCAGGGCTGTTCCAGAAGGCCATCGCCCAGAGTGGCACCGCCATTTCCAGCTGGTCTGTCAACTACCAGCCGCTCAAGTACACGCGGCTGCTGGCAGCCAAGGTGGGCTGTGACCGAGAGGACAGCGCTGAAGCTGTGGAGTGTCTGCGCCGGAAGCCCTCCCGGGAGCTGGTGGACCAGGACGTGCAGCCTGCCCGGTATGGGGTGGGAGAGGGCTGGGTCCAGGCCTTCAAGGTTCCAAGGAGGCTGAGGTGAGAGGTGCCTGTGGGCATACCATTTGGCAAGGAGGGATGGGCTTCTGGCCCCCAGTAAGTGGCCTCCTCTTGCAAGCCTTCCTTCAGTGGAGGTGCTCAATCAGAGCAGGTGAGCACAGGGTGCCATGAAGTGCTTTGGGATGACTTCCAGAGAGGCCAGATCTCCCAAAGGACCCACTGGAGGATTTCAAGTAGGGAAGAAGGGTCTTGCAGGTAGAGGGAAGCATCTGCGTGTGGGCTTAGCAGGCCACAGGCCAAGAGGAGGCCAGTGAGCAGGTGGTGAGACCCTGACCCCTTCTCCCCAGCTACCACATCGCCTTTGGGCCCGTGGTGGATGGCGACGTGGTCCCCGATGACCCTGAGATCCTCATGCAGCAGGGAGAATTCCTCAACTACGACATGCTCATCGGCGTCAACCAGGGAGAGGGCCTCAAGTTCGTGGAGGACTCTGCAGAGAGCGAGGACGGTGTGTCTGCCAGCGCCTTTGACTTCACTGTCTCCAACTTTGTGGACAACCTGTATGGCTACCCGGAAGGCAAGGATGTGCTTCGGGAGACCATCAAGTTTATGTACACAGACTGGGCCGACCGGGACAATGGCGAAATGCGCCGCAAAACCCTGCTGGCGCTCTTTACTGACCACCAATGGGTGGCACCAGCTGTGGCCACTGCCAAGCTGCACGCCGACTACCAGTCTCCCGTCTACTTTTACACCTTCTACCACCACTGCCAGGCGGAGGGCCGGCCTGAGTGGGCAGATGCGGCGCACGGGGATGAACTGCCCTATGTCTTTGGCGTGCCCATGGTGGGTGCCACCGACCTCTTCCCCTGTAACTTCTCCAAGAATGACGTCATGCTCAGTGCCGTGGTCATGACCTACTGGACCAACTTCGCCAAGACTGGGTGAGGGCCAGAGGGGCTGGGCGGGGCTGGGCGGGGCCCTCCCTCCTTCACATGGCCGCCGTTCCTCTGTTAAGGCACTCACTCTGGCCTGCCCTCTTGCTCGAGTGAAACCAACCCAGACACCTCTGTGCCAGGCACGGAGTTGAGCGTTGGAGACTCAGCAGTATCAGACAGAGAAGCCGCTGTCCTTTCTGGGGAGTTGGGGGCCCACTCAGTGGCTTTGGCTTGGCGTCTGTCTCTCCCTCCTCCTTGCCTGATCCCCCCTGCCCGACCCCCCTAGGGCTCTGCATCTCTGGCTGACTGCTCAGGTGTGTGTGTCTGAGTGTGTGTAAGAGTTTGTGTGTCTCTACTTCTGTCTCTGTCTCTCTGAAAATCCACTGACAGCTCTCCACCTCCCTCTGCTGCTCTCTTTTGTCTGCTTACTTTTCGCTTTCTCTGGCTGCCGGCTGATTTCAGCCTGGCTGTGTATCTGTCTCTGGCTGTCCCTCCCGTGTCTTTGACCCTGTCTGTGTTTCATTCAGGCTCAGCTTCTGCTTCTCCCTGGCTATCTCTGTGTGTGTCCCTGCCCCTCTGCCCGCATTTCTGGCTGTCTCTGCCAGTCTGTCTCCATCCCTATTTGCCTATTTGCCTGAAGAGACAGGCAGTTTCTCTGTCTCTTCATATCCATCTGTGTCTCTCTGCCTCTGTGACTTTTTCTCTGGCTTTCTTGCTGTCCCCCTGTCTCTCTGCATCTCTGTCTGTCTCCCTGCCCACTGCCATCCACCCTCCTTCAGAGCCTTGCCCTCACTCCTCCTTTCCCTGCCCTCCTGTGCCCACAGGGACCCCAACCAGCCGGTGCCGCAGGATACCAAGTTCATCCACACCAAGCCCAATCGCTTCGAGGAGGTGGTGTGGAGCAAATTCAACAGCAAGGAGAAGCAGTATCTGCACATAGGCCTGAAGCCACGCGTGCGTGACAACTACCGCGCCAACAAGGTGGCCTTCTGGCTGGAGCTCGTGCCCCACCTGCACAACCTGCACACGGAGCTCTTCACCACCACCACGCGCCTGCCTCCCTACGCCACGCGCTGGCCGCCTCGTCCCCCCGCTGGCGCCCCGGGCACACGCCGGCCCCCGCCGCCTGCCACCCTGCCTCCCGAGCCCGAGCCCGAGCCCGGCCCAAGGGCCTATGACCGCTTCCCCGGGGACTCACGGGACTACTCCACGGAGCTGAGCGTCACCGTGGCCGTGGGTGCCTCCCTCCTCTTCCTCAACATCCTGGCCTTTGCTGCCCTCTACTACAAGCGGGACCGGCGGCAGGAGCTGCGGTGCAGGCGGCTTAGCCCACCTGGCGGCTCAGGCTCTGGCGTGCCTGGTGGGGGCCCCCTGCTCCCCGCCGCGGGCCGTGAGCTGCCACCAGAGGAGGAGCTGGTGTCACTGCAGCTGAAGCGGGGTGGTGGCGTCGGGGCGGACCCTGCCGAGGCTCTGCGCCCTGCCTGCCCGCCCGACTACACCCTGGCCCTGCGCCGGGCACCGGACGATGTGCCTCTCTTGGCCCCCGGGGCCCTGACCCTGCTGCCCAGTGGCCTGGGGCCACCGCCACCCCCACCGCCCCCCTCCCTTCATCCCTTCGGGCCCTTCCCCCCGCCCCCTCCCACCGCCACCAGCCACAACAACACGCTACCCCACCCCCACTCCACCACTCGGGTATAGGGGGTGGGTGGGGAGGCCCTCCTCCCCGGCCCTCCCTGGCCCGGCCACTCCGAAGGCAGGGAGGAGGACTTGGCAACTGGCTTTTCTCCTGTGGAGTCGTCACACGCCATCCAGCAGCGCTAAGGTGGACATGGGATTCCTCCCTGCGATGCGTGTCTTTCCCACGCAGAGAAGCCCAGTCTCTTCTCTGGATCTGGGCCTTTGAACAACTGGGGGGCGTTTTCTCCCCCCCATTGGGACACCAGTCTTCGGTGTGTGGAATGTGGTATTTTCCCGCGTGGAGGTGTGCTTTCTCACAACGGGGTGTGTTTTCCCATGTGCAGGGTGAGGTTTTTTTTTGCCACCCTGGACACATGTTGGCCCCCTCAAAGAATTTCTGTGGGGATTTGTACCCCAGAATCCTGTTCCCCCATCCCTTCTCCCACCTCCTCCCCTCTCCCTCCCCCTGGAGACCCTGGAAGTGGTGTGTTCACATACAGTGACCCTTGGCCACCAGACCACAGAGGATGGAGCCTGGGAAGCAGCGAGGAAATCACAGCCCCCTCGCCCCTGCCTCCCTTGCCCCTACCCCGGCGAAGCATGTTCCCCCCGACGCCCCCCTTGGCACAAGTCAGATGAAGCACGTTCTGCCGGGGAGGCCCTCACCTTCCAGAGAGGACAGACACAGATTTCCTGCTGGGGGAGGGAGGAGTCCACGCATCCTGATGCTGCCTGGAAGCTTATTTTCCCGTGGCCAGGACGCATTTCTCTGAGTGGAAACAGGTTCTTGCATGTGGATGTGTGTTTCCCCAGGCAGACGGCCCCTCTCTTCCCAGCACTTCCCTGCCTCCCCCAGGCCTCAGGCCCAGCACCCAGTTCCTCCTCACATGGCAGGTGAGCACAGACTTCTAGTTGGCAGGAGCTGAGGAGGGTGAACAAACCCCGAGGGAGGCCCGGCCCTTGCTCCCGAGTTGGGGGGAGGGGGTGTGGCAACGTGCCCCCCGCAGAGGCCACGCATGTTTGACCAAAGCCCTCATTGTGGTCCGAGGACAGCCTTTTCCCCAGGCCTCAGAGCATTGCTCATCCGTGCCAAACTGGGTAGGTGGATTTGAGCGGAAAGACTCCCAAAATGTGCCAAGAATTTCCCAGTCCCAGGCAGGGCAGGGGAAACTAAGGGCAAGCAGGATACAGGGCGAGGGATGTGGCAGGTGAGGGGGCTCCCGCCTGTGCCCCTTCTCCTCACCATGTCTCCCCCACCCTGCCTCAGTTCTCCGTTCCCCTTCATCTCCGTCCCCCTCTTTGAAGCTGTCCCCATCTCAGTGTCAGACCAGCCTTCTCCTCAGCTGACCACCCTCCTCTGACCCACGCCCCCTCCTTGTCTGAAAGAAAGGAGCCTTGAATGGTGGAGGGAGGCAGTGGGGAGAAAGGTCTCACCGGACAGGTTGGGAGAATGAGGTCAGCGGTGCTGGGGAACAGATGGAGGGGGCAGTGGGGACAGGGCTTGGGCAGACACCAGCAGGAATAATTTGAAATGTGTGAGGTGACTCCCCGGAGGGCCTTGGGCTTGGGCATTTGGGAAAAGAATGATGTCTGGAAGGGCTTAAGGGACACAGTGGACGAGGGGAGAGTCCTCATCTGCTGGCATTTTGTGGGGTGTTAGTGCCAAACTTGAATAGGGGCTGGGGTGCTGTCTTCCACTGACACCCAAATCCAGAATCCCTGGTCTTGAGTCCCCAGAACTTTGCCTCTTGACTGTCCCTTCTCTTCCTACCTCCATCCATGGAAAATTAGTTATTTTCTGATCCTTTCCCCTGCCTGGTCTAGCTCCTCTCCAAACAGCCATGCCCTCCAAATGCTAGAGACCTGGGCCCTGAACCCTGTAGACAGATGCCCTCAGAATTGGGGCATGGGAGGGGGGCTGGGGGACCCCATGATTCAGCCACGGACTCCAATGCCCAGCTCCTCTCCCCAAAACAATCCCGACAATCCCTTATCCCTACCCCAACCCTTTGCGGCTCTGTACACATTTTTAAACCTGGCAAAAGATGAAGAGAATATTGTAAATATAAAAGTTTAACTGTTGGTTGTGCCTGCTCTGTTGTGGGGAGGGCGGTCTCTAAAGAAACAAGCCCTGGGGAAGTGACGAGGGAGGAGGGGTCTTTTCAGTGACCAGCTCTGAGGTCTGAGAGGAAGGGGGAGTGTGTGCTGGGGTCTGGTTGCCATGGTAATGGGTCTGTTTGGCAAATGAATGTCAGGACCCGTGTCTATGCCGAGACTGGAGCCTGGTGTCGTTCTATAATGGAAGGACAAAGGCTGATGGGGGCAGATGTCAAACAGGCCAGAGGCCCAGTGGGCTGGTGTAGGCAGCTAGCTCAGCAGAGGTATGTGAGGTGAGAGGCATGGCCTCTGCCAAGGCCTGGACTCAGGCGAGAGGGTCAGCCACGGGTCCAGGACTCAGGGTAGCCCCTTGGCACACTGGAAGGGAGTGGCCTGGCACCATTGTGACCCGTTCACTCCCAAGACCCTCAGGGACAGGCAGGCAGTCAGTGGACACTGTCGGCACGGTGGGCTGGGGGCGTAAGGGCCCCGGTGGTCCTAGGGACCCCATGGCCATGGTTGAGCGGCCGAGGCCCGAGTGGGCCTCGTATCACAACTGCAACAGCAACAGCTGCCAGGACCTGGGCAACTCTGTCCTGTTGCTGCTGGGCCTCATCATCTGCATTAACATTAGCATCAATATAGTGACCCTGGTCAGGGTGGGGCCAGATGGGAGGGAGCTGGTGGGATAGTGGGGGGCAGGCCTGCCGGCCAGGGCCTACCTGGGATCACTGTGTCTTCCCCCACCTAGCTCTGGAGCCGATTCCGTGGTGTCTTATACCAAGTGTTCCATGATACCATTTGTGAGAAAGGTAAGAGGTCTGGGGGCTGGGACATAGGAGGGGCAGAAACCAAGTGCTCTAGCCTCAGCCCTAAATTAGCCCCTTCCCTTCTTGCTCGCCCCTCTCAGACAACATAGCTGTGTGGCTGCCCTTCCTGGGCCCTGCCTCTCCATGCCTGTAGGAGCTGGCCTCCCCACTAGTCTCACCTCTCCCCCATCCACAGAAGCTCCCAAGTCATCATTACTCAGAAAGCAGACCCAGCCCCCTAAGAAGCAGAGTTCTCCTGCAGTCCATCTTCGGTGCACCATGGACCCTGTGATGATGACTGTGTCCCCGCCCCCAGCTCACCGCCATCGCCGTCGAGGCTCTCCCACACGCTGTGCTCACTGCCCAGTAGCTTGGGCTCCTGACACTGATGACGAGAAGCCTCATCAGTACCCAGCCATCTGCTCCTACCACTGGGATGTCCCTGAGGACTGGGAAGGCTTCCAACACACTCAGGGGACCTGGGTTCCCTGGTCTCAGGATGCCCCAGAGTCCCCTCCCCAGACCATCCGCTTCCAGCCTACCGTAGAGGAAAGGCCCCTCAAAACAGGCATATGGTCCGAGCTGGGCCTAAGGGCCTATGTGTATCCTGTGAACCCCCCACCTCCCAGCCCTGAGGCTCCTAGCCACAAGAACGGTGGGGAGGGGGCGGTGCCAGAGGCAGAGGCGGCTCAGTACCAGCCTGTCCCAGCTCCCACCCTGGGCCCAGCAGTCATCCCTGAATTTTCCCGGCACCGCTCCTCAGGCCGAATAGTGTATGATGCCCGGGACATGAGACGGCGGCTTCGGGAACTGACCCGGGAGGTGGAGGCCCTGTCCGGCTGCTACCCCCTAGCCTCTGGATCCAGCACTGCCGAGGAGACAAGCAAGAATTGGGTGTACCGTTCCCTAACTGGGAGGTGACTGGAAAAAAATAAAAAGGAGAGAGGAGGTGATCTGTGGTGGTGCTGGGGTGCCAGGGCCCACACAGCACCTAGAAGCTGTGGCTGTGAAGAGAATGCTCTCCCTAGCCACAGGGCCCTGAGCCCTGAGGACCCTCATTAACCTTTTGCCCCACAGGCCTGTCCCTGTCCTCAGCCTTTCCTAGGCCCTTCTGGGTTCCAAGGCTCTTACCTGCCTCTACCTTGTTTTCAATTTTTTTTTTTTTTTGAGACAGGGTCTTCTCTGTTGCCCGGGCTGGAGTGCAGTGGTGCAATCACAGTTCACTGCAGTCCCAACTGTCTCCCACCTCAGCCTCCTGAGTCACTAGGACTACAGGCATGGGCCACTAGTTTGTTGTTGTTGTTGTTGTTTGTTCGGTTGGTTGGTTTTTGTGTGGGGGGGGTTGTTTTTGTTTTTAAGACAGAGTCCTATTCTTGTCACCCACACTGGACTGCAATGGCACAATCTTGGCTCACTGCAACCTCTGCCTCCCAGGTTCAACCAATTCTCCTGCCTTCAGCCTCCTGAGTAGCTGGGACTACAGGCGTGTGCCACCATGCCCTGCTAATTTTTGTATTTTTAGTGCAGATGGGGTTTTGCCATGTCGGCCAGGCTGGTCTTGAACTCCTGACCTCAGGTGATCCGCCCGCCTCAGCCTCCCAAAGTGCTGGGATAACAGGTGTGAGCCACCCCACCCCAGCCGCACCACTATTTTTTGTAGAGATTGGGTTTCACTACTTTGCCTAGGCTGGTCTCAAACTCCTGGGCTCAATCGATCTGCCTGCCTCAACCTCTGAAAGTTCTGGGATTACAGGTGTGAGCCACTGTGCCCGGACTGTTTCCTCCCCCTCCCCTGAGGCAGGGTCTTGATCTGTCACTCAGGCTGGAGGGCAGTGGTGCAATCATGGCTCACTGGAGACTCAACCTCCTGAGCTCAAGCAGTCTTCCTGCCTCAGCCTCCTGAGTAGCTGGGACAACAGGCACCACCACGCCCAGTTAATTCCTTGTTTTCTTTAGTGCACAGAGAAGCCCCTAAATTCTACCCCAGGTCCCCAGGCAGTCGTGCACTAGAGGAGAGATCTCCATCTCCATGGCCCTAGCTCCTCAGAAGGCTGGTGCCTGCCAGAGCCCAGCGTTAGGCTGCAGCCACCGGTGAGGCCTGGTTCCCACGTAAGCCCTGATTTATTTGGGGAGGGATGGCTGAGAGGGCGTCTAGTCCTTCACAGTTCCCCAGTCACCCTGAAGGTCCTATACCCTTAAGCAGGATTGGAGCAGAGGAGGAAATATTGGGGCCCCCTTGGCTGGGCGCAGTGGCTAACGCCTGTAATCCCAGCACTTTGGGAAGCCGAGGCGGGCGGATCACGAGGTCAGGAGGTCGAGACCTCTTGGCTAACACAGTGACACCCCGTCTCTACTAAAAAATGAAAAATAAAAAATAAAAAAATTAGCTGGGCATGATGGTGGGCGCCTGTAGTCCCAGCTACTTGGGAGGCTGAGGCAGGAGAATGGTGTGAACGTGGGAGGCAGAGGTTGCAGTTAGCCAAGATGGCGCCCCTGCACCCCAGCCTGGGCGACAGAGCGAGACTCCATCAAAAAAAAAAAAAAAGGCCGGGCGTGGTGGCTCACATCTGTAATCCCAGCATTTTGGGAGGCCGAGGCGGGCAGATCACAAGGTCAGGAGATTGAGACCATCCTGGCTAACATGGTGAAACCCCATCTCTACTAAAAATATGAAAACAAAAAATTAGCCGGGCGTGGTGGTGGGCGCCTATAGTCCCAGCTACTTGGGAGGCTGAGGCAGGAGAATGGTGTGAACCCAGGAGGCGGAGCTTGCAGTGAGCCGAGATTGCACCACTACACTCCAGCCTGGGCAACAGAGCGAGACTCCATCTCAAAAAAAAAAAAAAAGAAGAGAAATATTGGGGCCCCCCTCAAGAGGTACCTCACTGTAACATCACAGCTCTCTGTGACCTCACTCCTTTGATTAACTCACCATGTCACCAGTGAGGAGACTAAGTTCAGAGAAGCTAAGGGTCTTGCTCATGGTTACACAGACACTGAGGATCAAGCTCATGGCCTCAGATGCTCCATCCCATTGCTGCAGAGCCAGCCTGACCCACCAGAACCTCCCACCTTCCCCAGTTCACCATGTGAACTCAGAAACTGAGAAACAGAGAAACTCAGGCCCTGCCTTTCTGCTACACAATTGGGATCATATGCACATGCACACACATACCACTTGAGAACAAGCAGCTGTGTGCGTGAGCCCAGGCTGAGGGAGCTGGACTTCACCTTCCACTCTAGACAGATTCCTGGAATGTGAGCAGACGGACCGTTTACAAATGGCCCTACTTCTCTCATTCAACTAACGTTACTGATCATTTTCAATGGATTCCATTCAGTGGAATCTGAATCTACTCTGCATCTACTCTGTGTTTGGAGGCTGGATGGGATATGATCACTGGCCTTTCTTTCTGCTGAGTGGTTCACTGTGTAAACAAATGGCTTGCAGTCTCCAGGGCACCACAGACCCCAGTGATGCACCTGTTTTAAGTCAAACACTCTTTTTGGTATATTAACAATTACATGTATTTTGTGCTTTGTTAATTTCATGTGGTTTTCTTGTTGTTGTTGTTGTTGTTGTTGGGTTGTTTGTTTGTTTTGAGACAGTCTCACTCTGTCACCCAGGCCGGACTTCTGTGGCGCGATCTTGGCTCGCTGCAACCTCCACCTCTCAGGTTCAAGCAATTCTCCTGCCTCAGCCTCCCAAGTAGCTGGGATTACAGGCGCCCACCAACATGCCCAGCTAATTTTTGTGTTTTTAGTAGAGGTTTCGCCATGTTGGCCAGGCTGGTCTCAAACTCCTGACCTCAGGTGGTCCACCTGCCTGGGATTATAGGCGTGAGCCACTGCGCCCAGCAAGTTTCCTTCCTTCCTTCCTTCCTTCCTTCCTTCCTTCCTTCCTTCCTTCCTTCCTTCCTTCCTTCCTTTCTTGTTTTTTTGGAGACAGATTCTCGATGTGTCACCCAAGCTGGAGTACAATGGCGAGAGCTCAGCTTGCTGCAACCTCCACCTCCTGGGTTCAAATGATTCTTCTGCCTCAGCCTCCCGAGTAGCTGGGACTACAGGCGCGCATCACCACACCCAGCTAATTTTTGTATTTTTAATACAGACGGGGTTTCACTATGTTGGCCAGGTTGGAACTCCTGACCTCAGGTGATCCAGCCACCTCAGCCTCCCAAAGTGCTGGGATTATAGGCATGAGCCACCGCGCCCAGCTCGGGTTTTCTTCAGGTAGTAGCTTAACCGTTTTTCACCTTGGAGTAAGGGTGGGTTGGTGGGAGTGTAGGTGGTTAGGTTGGAGAAACCATGGCTGGGGTTGGTTCCCAGCAGAGGCAGCCACCTCAGTGAGTCAGATGTCAGTGTGACGAAGTGGC
Source organism: Homo sapiens (assembly GCF_000001405.40). Lineage (NCBI taxonomy): Eukaryota > Metazoa > Chordata > Mammalia > Primates > Hominidae > Homo > Homo sapiens. The sequence goes on from NW_016107299.1 coordinate 45,518, forward strand.
TGGTGGGCTCAAGGACCACCAACACCTAGGGCTGGAGTCTGGCCAGGAAGAATTGGGCAGAGATGGGAGCTAGAGGACTTTTGACAGGGAAATGGGCAGAGTAGGGAGGGGCTGGTACAGCAGGGTGATGCCTGAGGGGACGCAGTGTCACCCGCCCATCTAGTCACCCTAGATGCTGGCCCCAAAGTAACCATGGGGCAAGGCACGCCAACAGGCTATGTAAGTTGCCATAATGTCTCAAAAGAACAATGAAACAGGACATATCTGATGCATGCTTCAACCCTGTGACGACCGTGTCAGCCTCTAACTACCCTATCTTCAGCTCAGGAACCAGCTGTGGGGTTAAGCAAACCTCGTGGAGATAGAGGAACAGACTGAGATCTGGGATATGTGGGGACCAGGCTCCACCAAGTAGGAGCCAAGGGTGGAGATGGCGGTAGAAGGGGCCAGCAGAATGGATAAAAGCTGCCACCTCCACATTGTGACTCTCGCTAGCTCACCTCATTGTGACCTGGCTCCCTTACCAGCTTGTAGTTATCTCCGGGGATTGGCATGAGTGCAGTGTGGGTTGGGGCCGGGGGTGGGGGGCAGAGGGGGGTGGCCCAGGTGGCCCTAGGACCCCCCCTCCATGGAAAACCAGCTATGGCATAACACCGTGAGATGTTGCAATCAATACCAAGAAAGCCCCCACGATGCCGAGGACATCTTACTCCTGCTGCTGGGCCTCATCGTTCTTGTCAACATTGGCATCAACGTGGCAACTATGGTCAGTGATGATTGTGGACTACCTCTGGGGGTGAACAGGGCCAAGGGTGGGAGCCAGCTGCAGCCTACATCTCCACCTGCAGGTGCGGTCTAGATTGGGGCGGGGGCAGGGGTGGTGGTGCTGGGCGCGGAGGGCCTGGCCTTCACTCTCTTCCACCCTGCCCCAGATGTGGCATGGACTCCAGAACGCCTTAGACAAGATGATTGATTGGGCTACTCAGAAAAGTAAGTGTGGCTGCTGGAGAGGTAGGGGACCCCCATCCCCACCCCTGACAATGGCCCTAGAAACCCAGGCCCCAGTGTTCCCAACCTTGAGCTCTTCTGACAATTGCCCTGACTTCATGGACTCTTGCCTTCCCCAGATGAAATTCAGGCCAGTGAAAGTCCCCCAAGTGGTCCCCCAGACAAGGCTCAGGATGTCCACATCCACTGCATCCTGGACCCTGTGCAGGTGAAGATGTCCCGACCCACGCAGTACTCCTCTTTCTCCTGCCACCATTTCTCCAACCATCACAGTAGCAGTCTTCTTCGCTGTGTTCGTCGCCGCCGCCGCCGCCACCGCCGTTGTCGCCGTCGCTGCTGCAACCACCAGCAGCGGCCGCAGAACTACAGACAAATCCCCCATAGCCACTCAGTCTTCCGTAACCCACATCGCAGCCAAAAGATGTCACAACTACACCGAGTGCCTTTCTTTGATCAGGAGGACCCGGATTCCTACCTGGAGGAGGAGGACAACCTGCCCTTCCCGTATCCCAAGTACCCACGTCGCGGCTGGGGCGGGTTTTATCAGAGAGCGGGCCTGCCCTCCAATGTGGGGCTGTGGGGCCACCAGGGTGGTATCCTGGCCAGTCTGCCACCACCCTCTCTCTACCTGTCACCTGAGCTGCGCTGCATGCCCAAGCGTGTAGAGGCCAGGTCTGAGCTGAGGCTGCAGTCCTATGGGCGCCACGGTTCCCAATCCCGACTGTGGGGCAATGTGGAGGCTGAGCAGTGGGCCTCGTCTCCACCACCTCCCCACCGGCTGCCCCCTAACCCCTCTTGGGTCCCCGTGGGGCACAGCCCTTACCCCTCAGTGGGCTGGATGCTGTATGACTCCTGGGATCAGCGGCGTCGTGGCACGGAGGGCTTTGAGCGCCCCCCTGCCTCGGTGTCCCGGAACGCCCGGCCTGAGGCCCAGGGCTGCCGGGAGCACCACTCCCCACAGTCCCACCAGCAGAGCCTGCTTGGTCACGCCTATGGCCAGTCCCACCGCAGTCCCCACCCATCCACGGAACCCTTGGGCTACAGCTCCCAGGACCCCCGTGAGGTGCGGCGTCGGGCAGCTGACTGGGCTGAGGCTCTGCCCGCCTGGCGTCCTCTGACTACCTCTGCCTCCCTCACGGTGTTGGACGAGGCCTCCCATCAACGGACCCCAGCTCCAAGCTCAGTGCTGGTCCCCCATTCCTCCCAGCCCTGGCCCAAAGTCCAGGCTGCGGACCCTGCCCCTCCCCCGACCATGTTTGTCCCACTCAGCCGGAATCCAGGGGGCAATGCCAACTACCAGGTGTACGACAGCCTGGAGCTGAAGCGGCAGGTGCAGAAGAGCAGAGCCAGGTCCAGCTCACTGCCACCGGCTTCCACCTCCACCTTGAGGCCCTCTCTGCACAGGAGCCAGACCGAGAAACTCAACTGACCAGCAGGCGGATGTGGGGTGTGGGGCAGGGCATGGAGGGAGAGGAATAAAGAGAAACAGAGTCCAGGAAACACTGTGGTGGTCTGTAGCGTGGGAGTGCCACTCCTTCGGCCAGCCTGGGTCCCTGCCCTTGGCTTCCTGAAATGAGAAACCAGTGTCCCCTTCTTGGTGTGAGGCACCCCTTGGCTTAGTGGCCACGCGGCTGCCAGCAGGCCCTCCTAGTCTGCACCATGCACTACGTAGCTCTTGCACTGGCTGACGACAACCACCCAGGCTCTTTATTCTCCCTGTTTCCAGCAAGGATCAGGTCTGGATTCTGAACTCAGTGTCTTGAGTGGAGCTCTTTGGGATTTACTTAGCACATGGTACAGGACCAGGCCAAGGCTCTGGATTCCAGCCATGCCTTCCCCAAGGCTCTGAGGCGGAGGTCTCCCCAGTCTCTGGTGTGGTCAAGAGGTAAAGGATTCAGGATTCTGAAATGAAACTGCAGGAGTGGCCGAGTGCGGTGGCTCACACCTGTACAGCACTTTAGGAGGCCGGATCACTTGAGGCCAGGAGTTCGGGACCGGCCTGGCCAACATGATGAAACCCTGTCTTGGTCGGGCGTGGTGGCTCACGCCTGTAATCCCAGCACTTTGGGAGGCTGAGGTGGGCAGATTACGAGGTCAGGAGATTGAGACCATCCTGGCTAACACGGTGAAACCCCGTCTCTACTAAAGAAATACAAAAAATTAGCTGAGTGTGGTGGTGGGCACCTGTAGTCCCAGCTACTCGGGAGGCTGAGGCAGGAGAATCACTTGAACCCGGGAGGCAGAGGTTGCAGTGAGCTGAGATCACACCACTGCACTCCAACCTGGGTGACAGAGTGAGACTGCATCTCAAAAAAAAAAAAAGAAAGAAACCCCATCTCTACGAAAAATACAAAAATTAGCCAGGTGTCGTGCATGCCTGTAGTCCCAGCTACAACTATTTGGGAGGCTGAGGCAGAGAATCGCTTGAACCTGGGAAGCGGAGGTTGCAGTGAGCCGAAATCGCACCACTGCACTCCAGCCTGGATGACAGAGCAAGAATCCATCTCAAAAAAAAAAAAAAAAAGGAAGAAAGAAAGAAAGAAACTGCAGGAGTGATGGAATGAGAGTGAGTGAGTCACCCAGCAGTAGAGAACGATGGAGAAACAGGAGAGGGTCACTGGCTTCCAGACCCTGTTTGCCTGTCCATACCTGGTTACTCAAACCTGGTTACCAGAGAGTTCCACCCTGGGCCCTCCTCTTCCTCGACGTTCCTCATTGTGACCCTGACCACCTGCCTCATTATGACTCAGTCCACCCCCTCCCCAACAACAGGAGTCTTGCTCCTAGTGACTGTGTGAGGGCCGGGGGCCTAGGCAGTCCTGGGACCCCAGGCCATGGGTGAGCGAGCCTATCATGGGGCCCAGGTGTGCTCTGGCACCAACCCCAGGAAGTGCCAGGACTTAGGAGACTCGATTCTTCTTCTTCTGGGCAGCTTCATCTTGCTCAACGTGTGGATCAATGTGGTGACTCTGGTCAGGGCAGGATCTGGGTAGCAGGGTTGGGGGAGCCCTGGGGTCTTGAAGGGGCTGAGGTGGGAGGGCTGTTGGGGTGTGGCCAGATAAGAGTTGGACTTAGGGGCTCACCCTGCTTCCGGACTCACCTGCCCTCCCACTCCCTTCAGCTCTGGAAGCATCTGAAGAGCTCCTTGCGGATTCTTTTCCGTCATTTTTTCCCCAAAGGTGAGTGGGCCCCTGTATGGGCTCCCAGGGATATGGGCCTGTCCCCTTTCTCCTATCCCTGGCCCAGTTCTTAGTCCCTAGGGAACCCGGGCATTGTCCCCATCCTACCTCTCCCTGCAGACAAGCAGCCCAGCGGCAGCCATCCCATATGTATTTGCTCCTCCGTGGATCCCAAGAACCTGTGCTCAAAAGTCTCTTCCCGCGTCCATCCTCGCCCAGGCTTCCTGCTCAGGCGCGTTAACCACCTTGACTCCTGGATACCAGACACGAACGATGAGAAGGTTTCTGCGTGCTGCTGCGTGCCCCCTAAATGTGGACATGCCGGCGTTCCCAGGGAGTCTGCACGGGGACTGTACAAGGCGGGGATGATGGGCGGGGGAGAAGCCCCTCAGGTCACAGCCTCAAAGGCTCAAGCCTCCTTGCTCTCCAGGCCAGAGACATCTTCCCAGTTCCCAAAGATGAGCAAGTTGGACACGGGTCCATGCCACCTGCCCCAAGAGAGCAAGACTAAGACCCCAGACTGTGCCCCAGCCGAGGCCCCAGCTCAGGCCCAGGTCCACTCCCCAACCCACACTCCTGTGTGCACCCCAACCCACCCCTGGACCCGCTCCACGGACCACACCGCTGTGCACACCCCTGCCCACTCCTGGACCCACTCCAAAGCCCGCACCCCTGAGGGCACCCACTCCCAGGCCCAGGACACCTCAGCCCAGGCCCAAGCCCACACCTCAGCCCCTACCCCAGCTCAGACGCCAGCCCACATCCAAGCTCACACCCCAGCCCCTACACCGGCCAAGGCCTCAGCTCACACTAAAGCCCATACGTCAGCCCAGGCCCAAACCCACTCTCCGCCCCACACCCCTGAGTATACTCACTCCCAGGCCCACAGCCCTGAACACACCTCAGCCCACTCCCCAGCCCAGGCTCCTATGCCTGTCCCAGCCCACCCCCAGGCCCATGCCCCTGAGTACACCTCAGCCCATGCCCCAGCGTATATCCCAGACCACTCTCATCTAGTCCGCAGCTCCGTTCCTGTCCCAACCTCTGCCCCAGCTCCTCCCGGAACTCTTGCCCCAGCCACTACTCCTGTCCTAGCTCCAACACCAGCCCCTGTCCCAGCCTCTGCCCCCAGCCCTGCTCCAGCACTGGTCATGGCCCTGACTACCACTCCTGTCCCTGATCCTGTCCCTGCCACCACCCCTGCCCCTATCATAACTCCTATACCCTCTACCCCACCTGCCTTCAGCCATGACCTCTCCACTGGCCATGTGGTCTATGATGCCCGCAGGGAAAAGCAGAATTTCTTCCATATGTCCAGCCCCCAGAACCCTGAGTATTCAAGAAAAGACTTGGCTACCCTCTTCAGGCCCCAAGAGGGTCAGGACCTGGTGAGTTCTGGCATATCTGAGCAAACAAAGCAATGCAGTGGGGATAGTGCCAAGCTTCCTGCAGGATCCATACTGGGCTACCTGGAGTTGAGGAATATGGAATGGAAGAACTCAGATGATGCCAAAGATAAGTTCCCCCAGACCAAGACTTCCCCTTACTGCAGCTTCCATCCTTGCAGTTCTGAGAAGAACACAGACTCCCAGGCTCCATTCTACCCCAAATTCCTTGCCTACTCCCGGGATACTGCATGTGCCAAGACTTGCTTTCATTCTGCAACCACTGCCCAGAGCTCAGTGTGCACCCTTCCTCCACCGTTCACTCTTTCCCTGCCTCTCGTTCCTCCCAGATCCTTTGTCCCTCCTCAACCCACCAACCATCAGAGGCCTTCCACCTTAATACAAACCCCTACTGTTCTTCCAACCTCCAAGTCTCCTCAGTCCATCCTCACTTCCCAATTCCCCATCCCTTCCCTGTTCGCCACCATTTCCCAACCCCTGATCCAACCCCAATGCCCTGAATGTCATGAGAGTCTAGGCCTTACCCAAGATTCTGGCCTTCAAAGGACCCCAGGCCCTTCAAAAGACTCCAGAGTTCCCAGGAATCTGGACCTTGCCCAAAACCCAGACCTCTACAAGAACCCAGGCCTTACCCAAGATCCAGGCCTCCACGAGAACCCAGGTCTTGCTCCAAATCAAGGCCTACATGAGTTCCCAGGCCTTCCCCAAGATTCTTATCTCTGCCAGAATCCAAGCCCTTCTCAAGACTTTGGTCTTCACAAGAATTCAGGCATTACTCAAGATTCCCACCCCCAAAAGAACACAGGTCTGACTCAAGAAGCTGGTATCCTTAGGAGCCCATGTCTCACCCAATCCCCTGGCCTCCACAAGAAAACACCATTTACCCAAACTTCTGATCTTCAGAGGAGCTCAGGCTTTACACAAGACTCTGGAATCTATAGGAATCTTGAACCAAACCAAGAGACTGTGATCTACAAAAATCAAGATCTCTCCCAAGCAACTGACCACCAAAAGAACCTAGGCTCTTCTAAAGATTCTGGAGGTCACAAGAATACAGGCAATGTCCAAGATCCAGGAGTCTGTAGTACCGCAGGCCTTACTGAAGATTCTGGATCACAGAAGGGTCCGTATGTTCCCCAAGACTCTGAAGTCAATAAGAGCTCAGGAGTTATCCAGGAATCTTTTCTCCACAAGAGCCCAGGCCTTGTCCAAACCTCTGGCCTCCCAAAGTGCTCAGGCCTTACCCAAAACTCAGGAGACTACAAGAATCCAGGACTTATCCAAGATTGTGGTGGCCACAAAGTTAAAGGCCTTACTCAAGATTCCAACCTCCCAAGCCTTACCCAAGCCACTAAAGTTGAAAGAAGATTTAGCCTTCCCCAAGATGTTGGAGTTTACAGGAGCTCAGAACATAGCCAAGACTCTAATCTCCACAAGTGCCCAGGAATTAATCAAGATCCTGGCCCCCATAAAGACCCAGCCCTTGTCCAAGACTCTGGCCTCCCCAAGATTTCAGGCCTTACCCAGGAATCTGGCCCCTACAAGAGCTCATGCCTCATCCCAGATCCCAGCCTCTACAAGAACCCAAGCCCTGCCCTAGGTTCTGATTTTGTCCAGCTTTTGTCCCTGCTTCAGACCCCAAAGTCCACACTGTCCCTGATGAAGTCATCTGTGCCTGAGAAGGCTGCTCAGAAGGAGGACGCACAGCGGCACGTCCTCTGGGCTCGTGTCCAACTCAATGAGAACTCCTGCCCTTCCAAGGCCCAAGTGGTCTCCAATGACCTGCAGACCTTCTCAGAGGTACCTGTATTAATTGAGCTGCAGTCATCCTCCTGGCGGGCAGGCAGCCAGCACGGGGCGTACCGCCCTGTGGATACAGTTCCTTCAGGCTACCAGAACTATCGTCAGATGTCTATGCCTACCCATATCAACTGGAAGTCCCACTGCCCTGGACCAGGCACCCAGGCAGGGCATGTGGTTTTTGATGCCCGTCAGAGACGGTTGGCAGTGGGCAAGGACAAGTGTGAAGCTCTGTCTCCTAGGCGCCTTCATCAAGAGGCACCCAGCAACTCGGGGAAACCATCAAGGAGTGGGGATATCAGAATGTGATGAGAACCTTGGACAAAGAGGGGACAAAAGTGCATCAGGAATAAAGAGGCGAGAGAAATGTTCTGTGTTTGTTTGAGGACATCCACCCCAGCCCATCCCCGATACTGGCCACCCACAAAGCCACTGAGGACAGGTCCCTGTTTCTCCTCCATAGCTGCATAGCTAAGCCCATTATCCTCAAGGCCCTAGAGCTCCTCTGTCCCATACACTAGCCATTAGCCAAATGTGGCTATTAAAATGTATATTAGGCCTGGTGCAGTGGCTTACACCTGTAATCCCAGCACTTTGGGAGGCCGAGGTGGGCGGATCACCTGAGGTCAGGAGTTCGAGACCAGCCTGGCCAACATGGTGAAACCCCGTCTCTATAAAAATACAAAAATTAGCCGGGCATGGTGGTACACGCATGTAATCCCAGCTATTCGGGAGGCTGAGGCAGGGAGAATCACTTGAACCTGGGAGGCGGAAGTTGTGGTGAGCCGAGATCGCACCATTGCACTCCAGCCTCGGTGACACAGCAAGACTCTGTCTCAAAAAAAAAAAAAAAAAAAAAAGTAGATGTTACTGCGGAACACATTTTTAAATTTTGTTTAATTTTAATTTACATTTTCTTTTTTTCTTTTTCTTTTTTTCTTTTTTTTGAGACAGAGTCTCGCTCTGTCACCCAGGCTGGAGTGCAATGGCGCGATCTCGGCTCACTGCAACCTCTGCCTCCCAGGTTCAAGCAAGCGATTCTCCTGCCTCAGCCTCCTGAGTAGCTGGGATTACATGCGTGCACCACCACGCCCAGCTAATTTTTGTCTTTTTAGTAGAGATGGGGTTTCACCATGTTGGCCAGGCTAGTCTCGAACTCCTGACCTCAAGTGATCCACCCGCCTCGGCCTCCCAAAGTGTTGGGATTACAGGCGTGAGCCAGGGCGCCTGGCCACATTATCTACATTTCAAGTGCTCAACAGCCACAGGTGGCTGCTGGTGGCTACTGTATCAGACAGGACCAACTCAGGACATTGCTATCGTCACAGAAAATTATATTGGAGAGCCATGCTTTAGAGTTTAGAGGAACTATTCCTTGTCACCCATTCTTAACATCTTCAAAGCTTCCACAGAGTCCAGAGAACTTAGTTCTTTTTAGAGTGCCTCGGAAGCCACCCTCTGGGAAGGAGGTGAGATGCAGGGATGTCTGATGCCTGGTTACTCCAGACTGTGAGAAACAGCCCAGTCTCCAGTTCTCCTGATCTGGCCTCTTGGGTCACAGCCAGATGTGTGTGTACGGGAACCTACTTGCGCAGTTCTGGGCTGCTTTGGTGCTCTCGCTTCTCCCAGGGACCCCAGCTCTGGTTGCTGAAGGAGAAAACTCTCTGTCAGTGACGAGGAACCCCTGAGTCCTGGGCTTGCCAAATTGATCTCTACAGTTGGGGAGTCTCTTCTTTTACAGGCCTCTAATTTTCCTAGATGTCCTCCTTAATTATCTTATCCATGGACTTAGGCCTATCCCGTCCTGGAGACAGACCAAGGGCAGAAGGAATGTAAGAAGTCGTGGCCCAGGCCGGGTGCAGTGGCGCGTGCCTATAATCCCAACACTTTGGGAGGCCGAGGTGGGAGGATCACCTGAGGTCAGGAGTTCAAGACCAGCCTGGCCAACATGGTGAAACCCTGTCTCTACTAAAAATACAAAAAATTAGCCAGGTATGGTGGCAGGCGCCGTAATCCCAGCTTCTCGGGAGGCTGAGGCAGGAGAACTGCTTGAACCCGGGAGGTGGAGGTTGCAGTGAGCGGAGATTGCGCCACAGCACTCCAGTCTGGGCAACAGTGCGAGACTCAGTCTCAAAAACAAAACAAAACAAAACAAAAATTTGAGATCCCAAAGTGTTTTCCCTGCCACGACTCAGGTAGCAGTGAGCTGAGGTGGGCATCACTAACATGTATGTCTCTCCTATGAGTCAAACGTCCATTTCTGGGTCACCATCTGTGTGCTCCTGCCTAACACTACCACTTTTGGGATTCCAAGATGCACCCCCCCCACCCCACCCAGGCAGGGGTCCCTATCTCTCCCCAGGCCCTAGGGTGGAGTTTCGCTCTTATCACCCAGGCTGGAGTGCAATGGCACAATCTCAGCTCACTGCACCCTTTCCCTCCTAGGTTCAAGTGATTCTCCTGCCTCAGCCTCCTAAGTAGCTGGGATTACAGGCGTCTGCCACCACGCCCGGCTAATTTTTGTATTTTTAGTAGAGACAGGGTTTCGCAATGTTGGCCAGGCTGGCCTTGAACTCCTGACCTCAGGTGATTCACCCGCCTCAGTCTCCCAAAGTGCTGGGGTTACAGGCGGGAGCCACCGCGCCCGGCCCATCCCTCATTATTTTTTGCGACTCAGAGCCATCCTATTACCCCTCTCAAACCCCAAGGAATGTTTGAGTGGGGTTGATATGGGTGTGAAAAGACACAGAATAATCTGTCTCCAGAGGAACTACAACTTCCATCAGGCACTACTTCAGCGGAACAGGAAAGGATGTGGGGGCGTGGCTACCACGCCCTAGTAGAGCGGGAAACTACAACTCCCAGGATAACGCGGGATTTCAGCAGGGCCAAAAGAGTGATTGAGCTCTGACTGGCGACCCGACCCGGCGGAAACCACCTCGACAGCCTCCAGAAAGGGGCGTGGCTGAAAATGTAGGGGCGTGGCCACGTGGGCATCAGGAAGAAGTAACCTGTTGAATCTATTTCTGCTCCCCACCCTTACTGCTTCCCATAAGGGGGAAGCCGCAGACTAATAAGCCTCTTCCAAAAAAGAGGTAAAGGGAGGTAGACAAGGGGCGGCAGCGGAGGCTGGCTACTGCATTCCGTAGGAGGAGCCAACAGTTACTTTTTACCTGCTGAGTCCGGTGAACCAGTTCATGGGGGCGGGGACCTGCCTATGAGAAAAGGGCCAGGATAGAAGAGGTATTTATTTGTTCATTTTGAGGACTAAATTTAGAACCCATCATCTACAGACCCATTTGTAGGTTGTGTCTGGGGCACTCGCTCGGCCTCAGGAAGAGGGAAGAACGGGGACGACTTTGTGGCAGCAAAGCCACCTCCCTTCCGTGTTTTCCGCAGCCCAAAGCGATAGAACCGCATGGCTTCCGCAGTCTGGGGGAGTGCCCCCTGGTGGGGCCCGCCGCCCCCGGCCCCAGCTCGGCCGCTCACGGACATCGACTTCTGCTCCGGGGCGCAGCTGCAGGAATTGACCCAGCTGATCCAGGAGCTGGGTGTGCAGGAGAGCTGGAGTGACGGGCCCAAGCCGGGAGCCGATCTCCTCCGGGCCAAGGACTTTGTCTTCTCTTTGCTTGGTAAGTAACCCTACTTGCCTTTGGGAACTCACAGCTCTCAGCCTCACCACGCCCCCGCCCCCGCCCCGGCTTTGGGCGACGCCCTCACGATCCGTTCCCTTTTTTTAGGTCTAGTTCACCGCCGGGACCCTCGCTTTCCTCCCCAGGCAGAGCTCTTGCTGCTTCGTGGTGGGATTCGCGAGGGCTCCCTGGATCTGGGGCATGCACCCCTGGGTCCCTACGCCCGGGGACCTCACTACGATGCCGGCTTCACACTCCTAGTGCCCATGTTTTCACTGGACGGCACTGAACTGCAACTGGACCTGGAATCCTGTTACGCACAGGTCTGCCTCCCAGAGATGGTGTGCGGAACCCCCATCCGGGAGATGTGGCAGGATTGCTTAGGACCCCCAGTCCCAGGAGCACGTGATTCGATCCACCGAACGGAGAGCGAAGAAAGTTCCAAGGACTGGCAAAGCTCTGTAGACCAGCCGCACAGCTACGTCACTGAGCACGAGGCGCCGGTGTCTTTGGAAAAATCGCCTAGTGACGTTTCAGCGTCCGAGTCGCCTCAGCATGACGTCGTCGACCTTGGCTCTACCGCACCTTTGAAAACAATGAGTAGTGACGTCACCAAGGCAGCCGTCGAAAGCCCAGTCCCAAAGCCGTCGGAGGCTCGGGAAGCGTGGCCCACATTATGTTCCGCCCAGGTGGCTGCCTGGTTCTTTGCTACGCTGGCGGCGGTCGCCGAGTCTCTGATCCCTGTCCCGGGTGCTCCGCGTCTGGTGCACGCAGCTCGCCACGCGGGTTTCACCACCGTCCTCCTGGCTACCCCTGAGCCCCCTCGCCGCCTCCTGCTCTTCGACCTGATCCCAGTGGTGTCCGTGGCGGGCTGGCCCGAGGGGGCTCGGAGCCACTCGTGGGCCGGTCCGCTGGCCTCTGAGTCGGCTTCCTTCTACCTGGTGCCCGGTGGCGGCACCGAGCGGCCGTGCGCCTCCGCCTGGCAGCTCTGTTTTGCCCGCCAGGAGCTGGCGCTCAAAGCGCGCATACCAGCGCCGCTGCTGCAGGCGCACGCGGCGGCCCAGGCGCTACTGCGCCCGCTGGTGGCCGGGACCCGGGCGGCGGCGCCCTACCTCCTGCGGACGCTGCTGTACTGGGCGTGCGAGCGGCTGCCTGCGCTCTACCTGGCGCGGCCAGAAAATGCGGGCGCCTGCTGCCTCGGGCTGCTAGACGAGCTCGGCCGAGTGCTCGAGGCCGGGACGTTGCCTCACTATTTTCTGAACGGCCGACAGCTCCGTACGGGGGACGACTCCGCTGCGCTGCTCGGAGAATTGGCCCGGCTCCGCGGGGACCCGGCCCGGGCCCTCCGTGCCGCGGTGGAGGAGGCCAAAGTGGCCCGCAAGGGGGGCGGTTTGGCGGGCGTGGGGGGCGGGGCCCATTAAAGACGCTGTTCCTACCAGTGGAAAGTGCCTCTGTGGGCGAGCGGGACGTGGGGGGCCCTGCTCGCCCCTCGCCAGGGGGACTGACTGTGTGCCCTGGGCCTGAAGCCCCCCTTCTGGAAGACCTCCCTGTTGGTTCCTCCTCTACGCCCACCCGCCTGCCCCCGCACAAGTTGCCCCATTCCAGCCTCGCTATTCTCCACATCTGTGGCCAGCACTCCGCCCAGGGGCAGCTTCCAGAAACCGTCTGTCCCCAGTTCTTTTGGTCATTTCTCTTAAGGGCCAATAGAAATGGGAGAAACATATTTGCTGACCAAACGCGAAAAGGAGTTATGGAGACCAGGGTCTGATCAATTTGGCTCACACAACGGCAGAGATATGAAGGAGGCCGGATTTCGCCCAAGGCTGGATCTCACCACCCCCCATCCTCCATCTCTCCAGTTCTTCCCCCACTTTACTCGTGCGGTTCTTTCTTCACTAACATCCCGGCCAGTAGGGTCTCTCTCCCTTCTCCCAGCGTCCGCCATTCCATCTCCCTTAGGCCCAACCTCTCCTTCCTACCCAGGGGTGCGTTCAGGAGGCCTTCCTGTCCCTCCTCCTCTGAAGGCTGAGACGTGCGGCCTTGCCTCGGCTTTGCCTGCTTGTAAGACACAGTCCGCACTCTCTACCTCCAAGGAACCCCGGGGTTCCTCCTGCCCGGCTTCACCCTCCTATTTCCCAGCGTCTCCGCCCCCTGCCCCGCCCCCGGGCCGGCTCTCCGAGGAGGGGGAACTGCTGTCGCCGCCGCCGCCGCCGCCTCAGCTTCCCACAGCCGCTGCCGCTGCCGCCGCTCTGCCTGGTCCAGCCACCGGCCCAGTGCTCTGACTTCGCCGGACCGGGGAGCTCTGCAGAGACACCCTCACTCCTTCCCGAGGGTCCGGGACGCCTAGCCGGGCGTGGGGGGAAGCTCCGTTTGCGGGGGACAGGGAGGGAGGAGCCTGGAGCCGAAGCCAGCGCCACCCGTCGCCGGATCAACAGGACAGGACAGGTTGAGGGGCGTCGGGAAAAGGAAGAGGGGGTGCTATAGGCAATCCCGGGGAGGACGAGGAAGCCCTGTAGCAGGAAGCTGTGATCCGCTCTGACTTGTAGGGGGCCTGTTCACATCTGGGGACTGGTGACAACGTGGGTGCACTCCTCTCTTGGGGGGCTGGTTAGATTGGAGGGCGTGGGATCTAAACAGCACCAGCTGTCCCCAAGAAAATTTAAGGGGCAGCCAGGGGAGAAAAAAACAAAAACAAAAACAAACACGGATGCTCCTCATTTTGAGGTGGCGGAAGGCCCTCCAGTCAACTACCTGGTGTATCCACTAGGAAGGGTGGATTTGGAGGTGACTTCAAAAGGAGCGGAGGGTGTGAAGGTGAAGAAAGGGTCTTGGCCGCTAGAATTCTATGCTACTAGACATGGGGGGGACTTGGTGAAAAAGGTATTATCCAGCCAGAGGGTCTGGGAGCCCTGTCTTACTGAACCTGGGCAACCTGGATATTCTGAGACATATTTTGGGGGGATTTCAGTGAAAAAAGTGGGGGATCCCCTCCATTTAGAGTGTAGCAAAGGAAAAAACACCAAGGTTGGGTTCCTTCCTGACATTGGCAGTGCCCCAGTAGGGGTGGGATGAGCGAATATTCCCAAAGCTAAAGTCCCACACCCTGTAGATTACAAGAGTGGATTTGGCAGGAGTGTGCCCCAAAATACAGTGGAAAGGTGCCTGAAGATATTTAAACCACGTCTTGGAAATTTAGTGGGTCTTGGCTTTGGGATAGGTGAAGTGAGGACAGACACTGGAGAGGAGGGAAAGGGGACGTTTTCAATAGGAGGCAAAACTCGAGGGTGGGATCCACTGAGGAGTACATAGGCTGCTGGATCTGGTGGAGCCAGCACTGGGCCCACGGGTGGTAACTGGCTGCTGTGGAGGGGGGTACGTGAGGGGGGGGGTCTGGGGCTTATCCTCAGGTCCTGTGGGTGGGGCAGCGAGTCGGGGCCTGAGCGTCAAGAGCATGCCCTAGTGAGCGGGCTCCTCTGGGGGAGCCCAGCGCGCTCCGGGCGCCTGCCGGTTTGGGGGTGTCTCCTCCCGGGGCGCTATGGCGGCGCTGGCCAGTAGCCTGATCCGGCAGAAGCGGGAGGTCCGCGAGCCCGGGGGCAGCCGGCCGGTGTCGGCGCAGCGGCGCGTGTGTCCCCGCGGCACCAAGTCCCTTTGCCAGAAGCAGCTCCTCATCCTGCTGTCCAAGGTGCGACTGTGCGGGGGGCGGCCCGCGCGGCCGGACCGCGGCCCGGGTGAGTGCGGCTGGGGCGGGGTCTCCCGGCCAGAGGTTTCTCTGCCTGGGAGATTGAGGCCAGGGACTCTGAAGAATAGGGCCCGGCTGAGGGGCTCCCCGAAAGTGGAAGGGGGTGGGCCAGGACGACAAAGTCCCTGCCAGACTGTGCCTCAGTTTCCCTTCTCTTTTGTCCATAACCCGGAGTCTCCTTATTTTCGAGGTCAAGGGGAAGGCTTGAGGGGCTGCCTGGCGCCCCGAAAGCCTCGTAGTTCCTGCTCGTCCCCCCTTCCCAACACAGCAGTCCCCACCCCCATCGTCCTCCGCCTACGTGCCGGTTCTCGCGATTCTTTCAATCTGGAGCGGAGGGGCCCGGGGGTTTCCAGATGCCTGGGTCACCCCAAGGATTTCTGCAGCTCCAGCCGCACGCCCCCCCCCAGCCCCCGCCTGCCCCGGTTCTCCCGCTCCTCCACGCCTGGGCTCGGTTCCTCCTGGTCGAGCTCTGCTGGCTCCGAGCCAATCTCCCCAGCTCTCCCTCGGGTGTCCTTGCAGCTACCTCGCCAGCCAGCCCTCTATGCGCCCTCCTCCTGTGACCTGCGCTTCAAGAACGGAGCTGGGCACCCCTCCCATAACCCCCGCGCCACTCCGAAATCGGGTCCCGTAGGCTCAGGGGACCCTACGCTGGCAGGAACTCAGACACAGTTCACGGCTAGAGATGGGCGCCGACTCGGGGGTCGTACCACCTACAAGGGGGGACAGGGAAGTCGGCAGAGAGCAAGCGATGGGGGAGGAGAGTTGTGAGAGTTAGAATTGGTCCCCGTCCATGTACGACAGTCAGGGAGTCCCTCTGGCCCTGCTCCCGCCCGCTCCCAGCTCCCCTAAGGGTAGCCACCTCGCGCCCTCCTCCCCGCGCCACCGGCTGCCCATAGTGGTACAATCCGCAGCCCACCCTCTGAGTAGGACCGGGCCCCCACGTGACTCAGCCTGCCTCTCCATCTCCTCAGCTCCCACCCCCCATATCCTTGGTAAGGTCCCCCTTACCCCAGGCGAGTTACCTGGCCGAAGGGGAGAGGCTGAGCCTCAGGGAGAACTGGGCCCCCGGGAGCCAGCGGACTGACAGACAGACAGACAGACAGACAGATGGGTCAGTGTCAGACAGGCCGGCGCTGGGCCAAGGCAAGGCTCTCGCCAAGCTAGCGGCAGCCGCAGCAGGTGCTGAGTCAGCGTCAGGCCCAGTCCCACCCCCACTCCTGAGGGAGAGCCCCTACCCTGTGGTCAATTTGCTGCTGCCAAGATCCCCCACCTTCGCAAACACGCTGCCCCTTCAGTACCCCTGCTGGTCTCCCTCTGTCCCTGCCTTTTGATATATCTCTCCCCTCCCTCCTCCCCCACTCCTTCCCCCTTCTGGTTGAGCTGTAGGGTAGGAATTAAGCCATTTAAATAAATTTCAATAAATTACACTGAAAGCTCCTGGTTATAGGAAACAGAAGGGACCCACACCAGCTTTCCCAGGAGTGAAAGAGAGGTGGGAGAGAGCGTGCTTGGAGGATAAGAGAGCTGGGGCCCTGGGACCCTCTTCCTTCCTTTCATTCTCCTTTCTTCCCTCTAATCCTGCCAAGTGTAGGAATGTTTCTGGGAACGGAGATGTCATTTTCAAAGATGAATGTCTCTCTCTCCAGAGCCTCAGCTCAAAGGCATCGTCACCAAACTGTTCTGCCGCCAGGGTTTCTACCTCCAGGCGAATCCCGACGGAAGCATCCAGGGCACCCCAGAGGATACCAGCTCCTTCAGTGAGAGGGGAAGCTGGCTGCAGGGTGGGAAGGGGGAGAATGGGGACAGGAGATGACAATCCTATTCCCTCTTCAGCTTCTGTTGCCATTGATCCGTCTTCCTGACCTCTAAGGGAAAAAGTGGAGCTGGGATGAGGGGAGCTCAGGTGAGGGTCAGAGGCCTGGGTATTGATGCTCCCTCTCTCCACCTGCAGCCCACTTCAACCTGATCCCTGTGGGCCTCCGTGTGGTCACCATCCAGAGCGCCAAGCTGGGTCACTACATGGCCATGAATGCTGAGGGACTGCTCTACAGTTCGGTGAGACAATGAGGCTGAGTGGCCGGGAAATACTGGGGACTCCCCTTCCTCAATTTGTCCCTTGAGGGAATGACAACCTTCCTCAACTACAGACATTTTGCCCGGGACTCCTCCCTCCAGCTTTGCTGATGGCCTGTCATCGCTGCCCATTCCAGACCAGCTCCTCTAGGGTCTCTCCAGTCCCCACTCCTTGCACACCCCCAAAACAGCCCCAGGTTCTTTGAATGTCCAACTCTTTCTGCCTTTTAGGGCCCCTACTTCTTATCCCACCTCCTCCAGATTTTGTCATTACTCACTTCCCTAGAGTCATCCAGGATAGGGGATAGTGAGAGACTGGGAGTACAGTGGAGAGAAGGAATCTTATTGCAAGACCCCTAAAAGTCTAGTTCTTTTTTTTTTTTTTAAATAGTGACAGGGTCTTGCTATGTTGGCCAGGCTGGTCTGGAACTCCTGACCTCAGGTGATCCACCCGCCTCGGCCTCCCAAAGTGTTGGGATTATAGGCATGAGCCACTGTGCTTGGCCCAGAGCCTAGTTCTTAGCCCTCAGCCCTCTTCCTTGTCCTCCCTTTGCTCCCAGGTCCTACATGGACTCAGAAGTTGTCCTCCCCCTCCCCCAAAAAGGATTTGTGCTTTCCATGAGCTCCTTTCTGCCCAGTGATGTGTCTTTTTATCTCTCTGTCTTTGTGCGCCTTTCTGGGTCTTTGTCTCCTTAGCCGCATTTCACAGCTGAGTGTCGCTTTAAGGAGTGTGTCTTTGAGAATTACTACGTCCTGTACGCCTCTGCTCTCTACCGCCAGCGTCGTTCTGGCCGGGCCTGGTACCTCGGCCTGGACAAGGAGGGCCAGGTCATGAAGGGAAACCGAGTTAAGAAGACCAAGGCAGCTGCCCACTTTCTGCCCAAGCTCCTGGAGGGTGGGTATAGACTCAAGAAAATGTGGGCCACAGGAGAGGGTATTGACCTTGATATGGACATTTAGGGGCAGACAGCTCAGGCTACAAGTGATAAGAGGACCCTTTGTGACAGATCAAGCCAGGAAGGCTTTGCCCTTTGGGGGTTTGGGTGCGGTCCTCCTGTGGGGTTGGGGTTCTTGGAGGGTGAATGTACGGGAAGGGAGCCCTTTTGGAGCACTGGTTCTGCCTGGGTCCCTCTGTGCCTAACTCTCCTTCCCTGCTCCTCTCTTTCTCCCCTTCACAGTGGCCATGTACCAGGAGCCTTCTCTCCACAGTGTCCCCGAGGCCTCCCCTTCCAGTCCCCCTGCCCCCTGAAATGTAGTCCCTGGACTGGAGGTTCCCTGCACTCCCAGTGAGCCAGCCACCACCACAACCTGTCTCCCAGTCCTGCTCTCACCCCTGCTGCCACACACATGCCCTGAGCAGCCAGGTCCCACTAGGTGCTCTACCCTGAGGGAGCCTAGGGGCTGACTGTGACTTCCGAGGCTGCTGAGACCCTTAGATCTTTGGGCCTAGGAGGGAGTCAGAGAGGGGGATGTCTGAAGATGGTCCTGGCTGATCACTTCTTTCTTTCCACACTCACACAACGCCATGCCTTTTCCTGAGATGGCGCTGGGAGTTCCCACATGGACAGCCAGGGCATAAACACTTCCCACCCCGGCTCAGCCAGTTCCTGGAGTCCTGTGCCCCTTTTCATTGCCACTGAGCCATTTCTAGATTCACTGGAGCTCAGGATTCATGTGTCCTTCTTTCCCTACTCTACCTTCTACCTTGGTCTGGACACATTCTGGAACACTGGACACCCTCGCCAGGGCCACTTCTGCACTAGGGCTCTGTGCTGGAACCCAGGCATGCTGCCAGCCTTTTCTCTGGATCTGTCAGGCCTCTGTCATTGACTCAGATGGACCCCTGGTTTCCAAGTAGAAAGAGGCTAGATTTGGGCCTTGTCTAGCTGTTGGCTTTGGCCTGAACCGGAACCAGTCTCAGATGACCACGGGTTTAACCTTCTTATCCCAGAGACACCCAATTCTAGAGCTTTATGGAGCCGTACTTCCCCCTGAATCCTAGCTCTAGGACATAGATCATGACTCTCAGCCCTTTTACCCAGGATGGAGCTGGGGCCTGTATAGCCATATTATTGTTCTAAGTAAGTTCTAGCCCCACCCTCCCGCCTTCTTGAGTGATACCTATTACGGATGAGTTCTGGAAAAGACCCAGCTATGATTCATAAAAACACTTCTGGATGAATCAAGAACCATTTCTTGTTTTTCCTAGATAATTCTCTAAAAATATGATTCTTCCATATAGAATGCTAAGCTTATTTTTACATGCAGTTTCTAGCTCCTTCAACCCAGCTGAGGTCGTGCCAGGGAGACAGAGTCTGGAGAAGGGCAGAGGAATTTTGGAAGGATCCCTGGCTCATAGTAGGGAAGCTGGGATGGGGGAGGGGTCAAAATTATGGCATGACTGAACCTGCATCTGTGTTGGGTGGACATGAATACTTAGCTACCTCAGCAGGAATTCCTTCCAGGTCCCCTTTAAAGCTGAGGTCCTTAGAGTAATATGTCCTTAATAAAAAGGACAAATGGATACAGCCTTGACCCTCCCAGTGAGGAGACCCCAATTCAGCAATAAGTCTCACCCTTCTCCCCTACAGGTCAGGCCAAGAAGGGTGAAGGCCTCTTGCACTCCAGACCTCATACGCCCCAACAGCTTCTAATTGGATAGAACTTGCTTTACCTTACAGCTCACAACCTCAGCTGGGTTTTAGGTACCCAAAAAGGGCCTGTCTAGATTTTTTCAGAAAAACGTGGAGTGCTAGGGGCAGCCTGGAAAAGATGGGGAACCTGCTAGTGAACTAGGAGGGAGACTTCCATAGCCTCAGACTTGGATAGGGTAGGCTGAGGGGGCCCTAAGGGAGGGACTAAGGCTCCAAGGCAGGTCACTTTTCCTTAGGCTGTTCTACTTCTGGCTTGTTGCAAGAGGAGTAGATGCCCCCTCACCCACACAAACCCCACTCAGTCTCCACCCAACTCCTGGCACTGCTCCCAGGGGATCGGGTCTCCACTCCAGCTTTCTCAATTAAAGACGATTTATACAACTGAAGTGCTGTCTGTCATCTGTCGGTGGCGGGCTTGGCAGTTGCTCGAGGCAGGATCAAGTCCCGGGGGCGGGGCGGGTGGGCTGGCGGCTGTCCTCCAGCAACAGGTGCACATTCCCGGGCTCCTCGTCACTTCCCCTGTGCTGGCGGTCCCAGCGGCTCTCTGAGCGAAGTCACTGAGCGAGCCGCCAGGCTATGACCCCAGGGGCTCTGCTGATGCTGCTGGGGGCGCTGGGGGCGCCGCTCGCCCCAGGTAAGTGTAGGCCCCGAAGGGGCAGTGACGGGGCCAGCGGTCGTGGCCAGGCACCAGGGCTGCACTTATTCTCTCCTCCCCCAGGCGTCCGCGGCTCGGAGGCGGAGGGTCGACTCCGGGAGAAACTTTTCTCTGGCTATGATAGCTCCGTGCGGCCAGCGCGGGAGGTGGGAGACCGTGTCAGGGTCAGCGTTGGTCTCATCCTGGCGCAACTCATCAGCCTGGTGAGGGCGCGCGGGGGGTGGAGGTCAGGCCAGCCGACCGGCCGGGGGCGTGGCTTTAGGCAAGGCCGGACCAGGGACAGGCTGGGGGCGGGGCCTGGGACGAGACCAGGCTGAGATGGACCAGCCTTTGGTGAAGATTGGATCGAAATCAGACCAATGGACAAGCTCTGGCCGTGGGTGGTGGACGGGCCTGGAGTAGAACTGGGTAGGGTGAAGGACGGACCTGTGATCGGACCTTAAAGTGGGGCTGGGGACGAGGCAGGGGCTGGGGGACGGACCTCGACGTAGGGCCACATGAGTCCTGAGTGCCCAGGGTGGGGCGGAGCTTGGTGCTCAGGGGTCAATAAATGGCAGCGGGTGGAGGTTCGGGGCTGGGTGGATTATGAGCTGAAGGCAGGGCCGGGGACAGAGCTAGGCGGAGGGCTAGGCAGGGGCGGGTCTGGTAGGTTGATAGGCTGGGAGTGTAGACGGCAGGAAGAGGTGTTTCTGAGATAGAGGCAGGTCTTAAACTAACGCCGCTTCTGGGAGGTGGACTTGGACCCGAGAGGATGGGGCTCAGAAAAAGGGGGCGGCGTTCCCAGGAGAGAGGTTGGCCCCCCGAGCCCCCTCATTTCTCTCCACCCTACTTCACCTTTACGCCTTAAATTTTTCCCTTCTAGAACGAGAAGGATGAAGAGATGAGCACAAAGGTGTACTTAGACCTGGTATGGAGACCCCACGGGGTGGGAAAGGGCTTCCCTCTGCCTTGACAATTTCCTTGAATATCCAGCCCAGTAAGAATATTTTTTACATCATGACTTTAGATAACACGTTTATAACTGAAGCAAAAGCTCGAAGAAACAACACTTAACTTTACTACAGGAGTTACACCCCATGCATTTTTAATTCCAATTTTGTGTGTGTGTGTGTGTGTGTGTCTGTGTGTGTGTGTGTGTGTGTGTGTGTGTGTGTGTGTGTGTGTGTGATGCGGTCTCACTATGTTGCACAGGCTGTTCTTGAATGCGGGGGCTCGAGCCATCCACCAGCCTCGGGGGGAACCTCCACAAGTGCTGAGATTACAGCCGTGAGCCACTGCACCTGGCCCATTCTAATTTTTGAAACACTGGTTTGGGGCCGCTAATTTCATTCCCCATCCACTAAAGGATTGCGAACTGCAGTTTGAAAACCGTTTTAGAGGCTAGCTACTGCAGCCTCCTCATTTTTACAGAGTAAAATATTGAAACCCGGTGCGGGGGAGGGAAATTAGCTGATGTGGATCCCAGCGAGTGAAGGCGGAGCCAGAGCCAGAACCACGGCCCCTTGACCCACAGTTTATGCCTGTCCTGCTCCCCTTCCTTGCACTCCCTTCCTGGGCTTCCTTTGGAAATCCCAAGTCCCTCCCGGCCTCCAACCCGGGGCAGCCCCTCAGCCTCTGCTTCACTAGGAGTGGACTGACTACAGGCTGAGCTGGGACCCTGCGGAGCACGACGGCATCGATTCGCTCCGCATCACGGCGGAATCCGTGTGGCTCCCTGACGTGGTGCTACTGAACAAGTAGGAGAACTTCCAAAGCCCGGGAGGTGGCGCGGGGCCTCGGGGGGCGGGGGGCCTCCGGGCGCGGGGCCTGATCCCTGATGAGATCCCTTCTCTGCAGCAATGATGGGAATTTTGACGTGGCTCTGGACATTAGCGTCGTGGTGTCCTCCGACGGCTCCGTGCGTTGGCAACCCCCGGGCATCTATCGCAGCAGCTGCAGCATCCAGGTTTCCGGCCTCCACATTGGAAGCTGAAGGAGCTCTTACAAATCCTCCCTTTCCTTAGACATCCTGACTCCCCGGCGACTCCCATCCTTCATCCTTCCCCCATTATCTAATCCCCATGACCCTCACCTCGTCTACCCTCCTGGTTTTCCATTGAGTGTTCTGTACACTTTCTTTGACTTCTAGTCTTACTCAGTGACCGCCCTCCCCATCCCTCCCCCATTAATGGCTTCCCTTCATAACCCTCCAATTCCTCCATGATTTCCCTTCTCTGTGCCCTCCCCAAAGACCTCCCAAACTCCACCAGCGCTGACTGGTTCTCTGGCAGCTCTAGTGACTCTCTCCTCCATCCAGGTCACCTACTTCCCCTTCGACTGGCAGAATTGCACTATGGTGTTCAGCTCCTACAGCTACGACAGCTCGGAGGTCAGCCTGCAGACAGGCCTGGGTCCTGACGGGCAAGGGCATCAGGAAATCCACATTCATGAAGGGACTTTCATTGGTGAGTAGGCATGGCTCCTACATCCATGGGCTCTATCATTTCCAGCTTCTAACAGACTCATAAATATACTGTCAGTGATGCCCAATATAGCCCTGTGGGGTCAGCAGGATGGGTATGGCTATCTACATTTTAAAAGTATGGAAATTGCCGGGGGCAGTGGTTCATGCCTGCAATCCCAGTACTTTGGGAAGCCGAGGCGGGCGGATCATTTGAGGTCTGGAGTTCGTGACCAGCCTAACGTGGTGAAACCCCGTCTCTACTAAAAATGCAAAAAATTAGCCAGTCATGGTGGCAGATGCCTGTAATCCCAGCTACTTGGGAGGTTGAGGCAGGAGAATCGCTTGAACCTGGGAGGTGGAGGTTGCGGTGAGCCGAGATGGCGCCACTGCACTCCAGCTTCGGTAACAGAGTGAAAGTTCGTCTCAAAAAAAAAAAAAAAAAAAAAAAAAAAAGGGCCTGGCGCAGTGGCTCACGACTTAATCTCAGTATTTTGGGAGGTGGAGGCGGGCAAATCACCTGAGGTCAGGAGTTCGAGACCACCCTGGCCAACATGGTGAAACCCCGTCTCTACTAAAAATACAAAAAATTAGCCAGGTGTGGTGGTGGACACCTGTAATCCCAGCTACTTGGGAGGCTGAGGCAGGAGAATCACTTGAACCTGGGAGGCGGAGGTTGCAGTGAGCCGAGATCACGCCACTGCACTCCAACCTGGGCAACAAGAGCAAAACTCTGTCTCAAAATAAATAAATAAAAATATGGAAATTGAGACTTGCCCAAGTTTATTAGAGATGGGCTACTCAGCCCAGTTTTCACAGCTAGTTTCATCAAGTCAGCCCTCTCAGGTCTAGGCTGTGGCAGAGCAAGCCATACCTGGCACTAACCAGGACAGCTCTCACATCTGTGTTCCCCTCCTTCTGCTCATCCCCAGAGAATGGCCAGTGGGAGATTATCCACAAGCCCTCTCGGCTAATCCAGCCTCCAGGCGATCCTAGGGGAGGGAGGGAAGGACAGCGCCAGGAAGTCATCTTCTACCTCATCATCCGCCGCAAGCCTCTCTTCTACCTGGTCAACGTCATTGCCCCATGCATCCTCATCACTCTTCTGGCCATCTTCGTCTTCTACCTGCCACCAGATGCAGGTAATGGGGGAAGGGGCTCCTTACTCTTTTGTCATTGGCTCAGCTTCTTACTCTTTATCCTTAATCCAGGCAGGGTTTTCCTGCCAATCCAAAGCATCATAGATTGGGCTTCAGCAATCCCGCCCAGGCTCTGCCTCCCGTTGACTGCCACCTTTCCTCCGCTCAGTGAAACTGGAACTCTTTCCTAATAGGAGTCCTAGCCTCTAATCCATAAAGCCTTTACTCCTCTGAACCACAAACCTCCAGGCTTAGATAGCTCTCCCATTCCCTTTCCCAACATTCCCTGCCCACTTTCAGACTCCCACTACTCCTTTAATTTTTTTTTTTTTTTTTGAGATGGAGTCTCACTCTGTCACCCAGACTGGAGTGCAGTGGTGCAATCTCGGCTCACTGCAAGCTCTGCCTCCCGGGTTCACGCCATTCTCCTGCCTCAGCCTCCCGAGTAGCTGGGACTACAGGTGCCCGCCACCACGCCCGGCTAATTTTTTGTATTTTTAGTAGAGACGGAGTTTCACCGTGTTAGCCAGAATGGTCTCGATCTCCTGACCTCATGATCTGCCCGCCTCGGCCTCCCAAAGTGCTGGGATTACAGTCGTGAGCCACAGGGCCCGACCTTTTTTTTTTTTTTTTTTTTTTTGAGACAGAGTCTTGCTCTTTTGCCCAGGCTGGAGTGCAGTGGTGTGATCATGGCTTGCTACAGCCTCAAACTCTTGGGCTCAAACAATCCTCCCACCTCAGCCTCCTGTGTAACTGAGACCACAAGCACCCACAATCATGCCCAGCTGATTTTTTTGTATTTTTGGTAGAGAAAGGGTTTCACCATGTTGCCCAGCCTGGTCTGCAACTCCTGAACTCAAGCGATCTGTTCGCCTCAGCCTCCCAACGTACTGGGCTTATAGGCATGAGCCACCGCGCTCGGCCCCCACTAGTCCTTTAACCTCCTATCTCCCTGGGAAATATATAATAGTAATAGCCACCGGGCGCGGTGGCTCACGCCTGTAATCCCAGCACTTTGGGAGGCCGAGGTGGGTGGATCACGAGGTCAGGAGATTGAGACCATCCTGGCTAACATGGTGATACTCTATGTCTACTAAAAACACAAAAAATTAGCCAGGTGTGGTGGCGGGCGCCTGTAGTCCCAGCTACTTGGGAGGCTGAGGCAGGAGAATGGCGTGAACCCGGGAGGCGGAGCTTGCAGTGAGCCGACATTGTGCCACTGAACTCCAGCCTGGGAGACAGACTCTGTCTCAAAAAATAAATAAATAAATAAATAAATAAATAAATAAATAAATAATAGTAATAGTCAACATATCTTTAGGAGGCAGCAAAATAGGATAACTTTTGGCAAATTCCTTAATCTTTTTTTTTTTTTCGAGACAGAGTTTTGCCCCGTTGCCCAGGCTGGAATGCAGTGGCATGATCTTGGCTCACTGCAACCTCCACCTCCTGGGTTCAAGCGATTCTCCTGCTTCAGCCTCCTGAGTAGCTGGGATTACAGGTGCCCACCACCATGCCTGCCTAATTTTTGTAGTTTTAGTAGAGATGGGGTTTCACTATGTTGGCCAGGCTGGTCTCGAACTCCTGACCTCAGTGATCCACCTGCCTCAGCCTCCCAAAGTGCTAGGATTATAGGCATCAGCCACCACACCTGGCCAAATTCCTTAATCCCTATGTGTCTCAGTTTCCTGATCTGGAAGTGGGCCAACCATTGTCCCTACCGCCTAGAATTATTTTGAGGATTGACAGAGTTAATAGAACTATGCCTGGCACCCAGTAAGTTCTATGTAAGCACTGGGTTTTGGGTTGTTTTTTGTTTTTCTTTTTTGAACACTTGCTATAAGGTAATTCATTTAACATGGTACATGTACTAATTCTAAACTTTACAACAATCCTGTGAGGTAAGTAACGAATTGTCATTCTCATTTTACAGTGGAGGATAAAGAGGCTGAAGGAGTTTAAGTCATTTGCCTGAAATCATTACACAGTTAGAGAGGGGCAGTGTTGCAATTCCAACCTGGGTCAGTGGCAGTCTGATTCAGAGACCTGATATCCTTAGCTCTGGTATTCAAAACATGCTTTCCTCCTCTCTGCCATCAAATCCTTTGTCTAAAGAAGGAAAGCAGGCTGGGCGTGGTGGCTCACACCTGTAATCCCAGCACTTTGGGAGGCTGGGGCTGGTGGATCACCTGAGGTCAGGAGTACTCAAGAAACAGAAAGGAGGCCAGTAGAACTGAATGAAGTAAGCAGAGGGGAAAGCAGTAGGAGATGAAGTCAAGGAGCTCATGGGAAGGACCTATAGACCATAACCAGCTGCGTTTCAAAGGGACTCTAGACCCAGGAAGGCCCAGAACCACTGATGCTGAGTAACACCCTTGGCCTTCTGGTCTGAGTTGCTATGGCCTTGGGCATGCTAGAACAGGCAAGTGAGTTTCACTGGGGCATGTGTTGGGTGGATGTTTCAGGTTCTTTTCTTTTCTTTTCTTTTCTTTTTTTTTTTTTTTTTTTTGAGACAGAGTCTTGCTCTGTCTCCCAGGCTGGCATGCAGTGGCGCGATCTCGGCTCACTGCAACCTCCACCTCCCAGGTTCAAGCAATTCTCCTGCCTCAGCCTCCCTCCCCGGTAGCCGGGATTACAGACATGAGCCACCATGCCTGAGTAATTTTTCTATTTTTAGTAGAGATGGGATTTCTCCATGTTGGCCAGGCTAGTCTCAAACTCCTGACCTAAAATGATCCACCCGCCTTGGCCTCCCACAGTGCTGGGATTACAGGTGTAAGCCACCCCGCCCAGCCTGTTATGTTTTTTAACGTTGGTCTTTCGGCCACCAAGAGCCCAGGAAGGCCACATGCACAGCTCTGCCAGGTGCAGCCCAGGTGTCCAGGGCTCTCTGGTCCAGGACACCATGGCCTGGTGTGCCCTTATCTCCAGGCCTGAAGCCCCACCTGTCCAACCTGGAGACAGCTATGCAAGGTTCTCTTGCCAGGTGCTGTTTAATCTTGGGCCCTCCAGGGCCTGGAGCAGCTTCCAGGGCCCGTCCTCCATGCCCCCACCCAAGGACGTCCTCACTCCAGCAAGCTCAGCTACATGCTCAGCAGTCAGGGCCACTGAGGCCACAGCCCCGCCGCCACCCACACCAGGCTGTCCTAGAGGGCCACCCCAGCCCTGGAAGCCCCCTCAACCCCTGCTTTCATGCAGGAGAGGGGGAGCCACTGGAAGGTTCTGGAAAGAGGAATAATATGATCTGATTCTATTTCTTTCTTTCCTTTTTCTTTTTTTTTTTTTTTTTAGATACAGTCCCTGTCTGTCACCCAGGCTGGAGTGCAGTGGCACGATCTTGGCTCACTGCAACCTCCGCCTCCCGGGTTCAAGCGATTATTCTGCCTCAGCCTCCCGAGTAGCTGGGATTCCAGTCACACACCACGATGCCCAGCTAAATTTTTTGTAATTTAAGTAGAGATGGGGTTTCGCTATGTTGGCCAGGCTGGTCTCGAACTTCTGACCTCAGGTGATCTGACCGCCTCAGCCTCCCAAAATGCTAGGATTACAGGCATGAGCCACCGCACCCAGCTTGATTTATATTTTAACAAAATCAGTCTGGCTGCTCGGTTGAGAACAGTCAGCATGGGAGAAAAGGATGGAGCAAAGAGACCAGTTAGGAGGGCTTTACAATAATTCAGACCTAAGGTAATGTGCTTTAGAGCAAGGTGGTGATGTAGGAGGTGGGACTCGACTCCAGACCAAATTGAGGACCAGCTAGAACAGGAACAGGGCAGATGCAGCTTTCCATAAGACATACTCACGAGTGTGCCATGTCAGTTTACCATTGCCATGGAAACACCTGGGAGTTACCACCCCTTTGGCAATCACCTGATGACACAGAAGTTACTGCCCTTTCCCTAGAAATTTCTGCCTAATCCGTTGCTTAATCTGCATGCAATTAAACGTAGGTATAGGCCAGGCGTGGTGGCTCACGCCTGTAATCCCAGCACTTTGGGAGGCTAAGGTGGGCAGATCCCTTAAGGTCAGGAGTTCAAGACCAGCCTGGCCAACATGGTGAAACCCTGTCTCTACTAAAAATACAAAAAGTTAGCCAAGTGTGGTGCCATGCACCTGTAATCCCAGCTGCTCGGGAGGCTAAGACAGGAGAACTGCTTGAACCCAAGAGGCAGAGGTTGCAGTGAGCTGCAATCACGCCACTAAACTCCAGCCTGGGTGACAGAGTGAGAGTCTGTCTAAAAATAAATAAATACATAAGAGATAGGGAAGACTATCAGAGGAGTAGCTTTGGTAGTAAGATAATTTAGTTTTGGACATTTTGTTTTATTTTGTTTCTGCTTTTGTTTTTTGAGATGGAGTTTTGCTCTTGATGCCCAGGCTGGAGTGCAATGGCACGATCTCGACTCACTGCAACCTCTGCCTCCTGGGTTCGAGTGATTCTCCTGCCTCAGCCTCCCTAGTAGCTGGGACTACAGGCACCCACCACCATGCCCAGCTAATTTTTTGTATTTTTAGTAGAGATGGGGTTTCACTATGTTGGCCAGGCTGGTCTCGAACCCCTGACCTCAGGTGATTCGCCTGCCTCGGCCTCGCAAAGTGCTGGGATTACGGGTGTGAGCCACTGTACCCGGCTCAGTTTTGGACATGTTAAGCTTGAAATATTTATTAGACATCCAACTATCCAAGAGAGGTTGAGTAGGCAGATGGATATATATCTGGCATTCAGGGGAGAAGTCCAGGGTGGACATACAAATGTAGGAATGATTTACATGCAGATGGCCCTTCCAAAAGCCTGTCTTTTTTTTTTTTTTTTTTTTTTTATGATGGAGTTTTGCTCTGTTGCTCAGGCTGGAAGGCAGTGGTGCCATCACAGCTCACTGCAGCCTCCATCTTCCACACTCAAGCAGTCCTCCCAACTCAGCCTCTCAAATAGTTGGGACCACAAGCATGCGCCATTGTGCCTGGCTAATTTTTTTTTTTTTCTTTTTGTAGAGGTTGGGCAAAGTGGCTCACGCCTGTAATCCCAACAGTTTGGGAGGCCAAGGTGGGTGGATCACTTGAGCTCAGGAGTTTGAGACCAGCCTGGGTAACATGGTGAAATCCTGTCTCTACAAAAAGTACAAAAATTAGCTGGGCATGGTGGCGTGCACCTGTAGTCCCAGCTACTCAGGAGGCCGAGGTGGGAAGACCACTTGAGCCTGGGAAGTGGAGGTTTCAATGAGCCATTATCATGCCACTGCACTCCAGCCTGGGTGACAGAGCAAGACCCAGCCTCAAATTTGTTTTTGTAGAAAAGAGGTCTCCCTATGTTGCTCAGGCTGGTCTGAAACTCCTGGGCTCAAGCAATCCTCCCACCTTGGCCTCCCAAAGTGCCAGGACTACAGGTGTGAACCACTGTGCCTGGCTGTAGAAATCTGTCTTTGAATGGCCTGGAAACATGGTCACTGATTATGCCATAGAGCTTTCCTTCAGGCAAGTCTAATCCTTCTCTCTTCCCCTCTGCCCTCCAAGGAGAGAAGATGGGGCTCTCAATCTTTGCCCTGCTGACCCTTACTGTGTTCCTGCTGCTGCTGGCTGACAAAGTACCTGAGACCTCACTATCAGTACCCATTATTATCAAGTACCTCATGTTTACCATGGTCCTCGTCACCTTCTCAGTCATCCTTAGTGTCGTGGTTCTCAACCTGCACCACCGCTCACCCCACACCCACCAAATGCCCCTTTGGGTCCGTCAGGTAAGAAAGATCTCCTCCTCCAACCCCAATTTTCCTTTTACAGACCATAGGGAGAACTATAGCTATGTGGCAGAGTGTTGAAGTGTCCAAGCTTGTTGAGTGTTGAAATGTTGCACAGTTAAGCTAGCCCCCATCATTATCATTTCACAGATCCCATACTCTCTTCATCAATACTGCCCATCTCGGGTCCCAGGGAAATATTCTTAGGGTTAGGTACTATCAGATTGGAAGCCCTCTCTTTCCAGTTGGGATACCTCCCAACCCACTAAATAGCTTTTTTTTTTTTTTTTTTTTTTTTTTGAGATGGAGTTTTGTTCTTGTGGCCAGGCTGGAGTGCAATGGCACAATCTCAGCTCACTGCAACCTTCACCTCCCAGGTTCCAGCGATTCTCCTGCCTGAGCCTCCCAAGTAGCTGGGATTACAGGCACCCGCCACCACGCCCAGCTAATTTTTGTATTTTTAGTAGAGAGAGGGTTTCACCATGTTGGCCAGGCTGGTCTTGAACTCCTGACCTCAGGTGATCCACCTGCCTTGGCTTCCCAAAGTGCTGCGATTACAGGCGTGAGCCACCGCGACAGGCCCAACCCACTAAAGAGCTCTTAGGTCTGTGTGGCTGCATTTCCTTGTGTAGCTCGTTTGTGGAAGAATATGCACGCACATACTCACGCGCGGGAATGGGCATGTGGAGTGGGGTGGTTGGCTGTTTCCCTTCTGGTCTGAAAGCATGAAAGCCCCCACCAATACGCCTCTTCTACTCTGCAGATCTTCATTCACAAACTTCCGCTGTACCTGCGTCTAAAAAGGCCCAAACCCGAGAGAGACCTGATGCCGGAGCCCCCTCACTGTTCTTCTCCAGGAAGTGGCTGGGGTCGGGGAACAGATGAATATTTCATCCGGAAGCCGCCAAGTGATTTTCTCTTCCCCAAACCCAATAGGTAGGACTACGCCCGTTACCCACATAAGAGGGAGAGGGAGAACTACAGTTCCCAGAAGAGTGTGCGGAAGAAGCGGCCCATGCTCTCGGAAGACGCTGTGGTTGAGCATCATGGGAGTTGTAGTACTCCTGCTGCTCACTTTGAGGGGAGGTGGGAACTAAAACAGAGGCGGTGGAAGAAGTTGCACAAGGCTAGAGAGATCACTGCTGGAGGGAAAAGCATGATGGGCTCTCGGGTTTTGAGAACTGGCAAGTTGTTGGAGGCAGCTGGAGCGGGGCCTGGGTCGCCGGCACTGGCTGTCTTTGCGTTTGGGCGTGGCCAGTCACTCCTCTTCCAGGTTCCAGCCTGAACTGTCTGCCCCTGATCTGCGGCGATTTATCGATGGTCCAAACCGGGCTGTGGCCCTGCTTCCGGAGCTACGGGAGGTCGTCTCCTCTATCAGCTACATCGCTCGACAGCTGCAGGAACAGGAGGACCACGATGCGGTATGTCCAACGGGGGTGGAACAAGGCCAGGTCTAGGCGACCTTGGCCCCACCCCCAAATTCCGCACCAGCACTCGCTTTCGTTTTTTTTGTGTGGTTTTTTTTTGGCTTTTTTTTTTTTTTTTTTTTTTTGAGACAGAGTCTCGCTCTGTCGCCCAGGCTGGAGTGCAGTGGCTCGATCTCGGCTCACTGCAACCTCCGCCTACGGGTTCAAGCGATTGTCCTGCCTCAGCCTGCCGAGTAGCTGGGACGACAGGGGCGCGCCACCACGCCTGGCTAATTTTTGTATTTTTAGTAGAGACGTGGCTTCACCATGTTGGCCAGGCTGGTCTGAAACTCCTGACCTCAGGTGATCCGCTCGCTTCGGCCTCCCAAAGTGCTGGGATTACAGGCGTGAGCCACCGCGCCCGGCCTCGCTTTCGTTTCTGATTGGACCTCTCCCTCATTTGGTCCCACCCCCTGCTTACCTACTGGTTCTTTATGCCCATGCATTGCCTGCAGTCTCGCTCTCCTGTTGGCGCTGCCGGCTGTTGCCTCAAACCAGTGGTAGGAGGACTCAAGCGGGTAGCGGGCGGGGAAATGGGGGGGTTTCCCTGGGGGTCTGGGCCCAGAGCTCAGGAAGTTTCCTTTGCCTACCCACAGCTGAAGGAGGACTGGCAGTTTGTGGCCATGGTAGTGGACCGCCTCTTCCTGTGGACTTTCATCATCTTCACCAGCGTTGGGACCCTAGTCATCTTCCTGGACGCCACGTACCACTTGCCCCCTCCAGACCCCTTTCCTTGAAGACTGGAGGGTTGAGACCCAGGCCCCCTGCCAGTTGAAGTGAGAGTTTGGTGATACTGTCAAGCCCTATCCTTCTCTGCCTCTTAACTCCTTCACGAGGAATCTGGGCCTCTTATTTCGTTTCTGGGGACTGCATTGGACTGAGGGCTGGGTAGGCAGGTGTCTTGGACCCACCTGAAATGCAGTATCATCTGATTTACTCTTTGGGATCTTGAAGAAGCTCTTTTGGGTATCAACACCTAGGTCGCCAGTGAAATAGAACACAGAACAGGAACTAGATTATAAGCCTTATGAGGTCAAGAAATGTGACTTGGCCGGGCGCGGTGGCTCACGCCTGTAATCCCAGCACTTTGGGAGGCCAAGGCGGGCGGATCACCTGAGGTCGGGAGTTTGAGACCAGCCCGACCAACATGGAGAAACCCTGTCTCTACTAAAAATACAAAATTAGCCAGGTGTGGTGGTACATGCCTGTAATCCCAGCTACTAGGGAGGCTGAGGCAGGAGAATCACTCGAACCCGGGAGGCAGAGGTTGCAGTGAGTCAAGATCACGCCATTGCACTCCAGCCTGGGCAACAAGAGCGAAACTCCATCTCAAAAAAAAAAAAGTGTCTTGTTCACTGCAGCATGCCCAGTGCCACGCACAGGTGCTGACCTATAGTAAGTGCTTAACATTTGTTGAATAGGGGAAAGAAATTTCCGGAAGTAAATACAGCAATTAATAATGTTTATAAGCTGGGCATGGTCGCTCAGGCCAGTAATCCCAGTGACTTAGGAGGCTGAGGTGGGAGGATTACTTGAAACCCACAGTTTGAGACCAGCCTGGGCAACATAGTGAGACCCTGTCTCTAAAAAAATAAAAATAGAAATAAAGTAGTGCTTATTGTTTGCATGTTGGGTCTTGTGGTCGTTTTCTTTTTACCTTTCTGTAATTTATTATGTTTTGTAATGTGTACTATCTCTGGGATTAAAAAAAGTTATTTCTACAAGCATGCATTGGTAATGAGAAAAAACAAGCGTTTTGAAGGCCTTCATTCAAGTTCCAACCTTGGTGCTCACACAAGCCACTAGCTTGCTCTGTACTTGTTTCGACATCTGTAAAATGAAACTAATGATAGCATATGCCCTATAGGATTGTCTGGGGATCACAGGAGATGGGAAAAAAGCACTATGCGATATGTATCAGAGGTTGCAACGGTGTGTTTTTTGTTTGGCCTGCACAGTTTTAAATTTGAACTAGTTCACTACTTTTATTTTTTATTTTTTTTCAAGACAGAGTCTCGCTGTGTTGCCCAGGCTGGAGTGCAGTGGCGGGACCTCGGCTCACCACAACCTCTGCCTCCCGGGTTCAAGTGATTCTCCTGGCTCAGCCTCCTGAGTACCTGGGACTGCAGACCCACACCACCATGCCCAGCTAATTTTTGTACTTTTAGTAGAGATGGGGTTTCACTATGTTGGCCAGGCTGGTCTAGAACTCCTGACCTCGTGATCTGCCCGCCTCGGCCTCCCAAAGTGCTGGGATTACAGGCGTGAGCCATCACGCCTGGCTACTAGTTCACTGCTTTTAAAATGTGGATATTTCATGAGAAATTTGGCTTCCTGGCTTCTCTTGAAAATAATCTTATTTAAAAAAAAACTATAGAGACAGGGTCTCACTATGTTGCCCAGGCTGGTCTTGAACTTCTGAGCTCAAGTGATCCACCTGCCTTGGCCTCCCAAAATGCTGGGATTACAGGTATGAGCCATCACACCCAGCCTCAAAGATAATTTTAAAAACTATAGTAGTCCGGGCGTGGTGGTTTATGCCTGTAATCCCAGCACTTTGGGAGGCTGAAGCAGGCAGATCACGAAGTCAGGAGTTCGAAACCAGCCTGACCAACATGCTGAAACCCCGTCTCTACTAAAAATACAAAAATTAGCTGGATGTGGTGGCGTGCACCTGTAATCCCAGCTACTCAGGAGCCTGAGGCAGGAGAATCGCTTGAACCTGGGAGGTGGAGGTTGCAGCGAGCCAAGATCGTGCCACTGCACTCCAGCCTGGGCAACAAGAGCGAAACTCCATCTCAAACAACAACAACAACAAAAAACTATAGTAACACCAGGCCTGATTCCCCTGTTGGCAACAACTTGTGTAGAGCTTAGTGGCTGCCACTCTGGTCAAGTTATTCATACCATAATTCCTCAAAGCCCCTGTAAACCTGACCCACGTCACTTAGTTTACCTGCCCATCCCTCCGTAACACTAGAAAAGATACAGGGGGCAACGAATTGAAGCCAATGGGGAAGCCACAAGTGGAAAAAGAAAGGTTGTGTCTCTTATGGCCATCACACATTTTATGCCTCAGTTTTCTTTCAATTTGGAAGGAAGGTTAGACCTGGTTTAAGGCAGGGCCATTTTGGACATAGAGATCTCGCGCCCAGCAGGTTGTATGAACTAGACTGTTAATATTTCTGGCTGGATGTTGGGCCAAAGTCAGCTTGAGCCTACAGTCAACAAGCCCTCACTCAACTACTCAACTGCTGGAAGTTGCGTCCAAACAGGGAGCATTGGGCCACAACTCACAGGGATCCTTGTGGGACAAAGTTAGCATGTTCCTTTCCCCCAGACCCACCAGCCACGCAAATAATTGCACCTGGCATCCCACTGTGGAGCACAGTTCATTTGTCTTGTTGGTTTATTGGCCTACAGAGTTGGACACACACACAAATGCGGAGATAAATATTGGTCAGTTTCTCTAAATCTGGGTCCTCACTACGTATAGAGCTAGTCTGTAGAATTCTAAATTTTGCGTGCTGCGGCACAGAACCAGTGGCCTTCTCACTCTGCCACCACCCG
This sequence comes from Homo sapiens, assembly GCF_000001405.40. NCBI lineage: Eukaryota > Metazoa > Chordata > Mammalia > Primates > Hominidae > Homo > Homo sapiens. The sequence goes on from NW_016107299.1 coordinate 80,014, forward strand.
TCTTCCCAGGGAACATGGGGAAAGAGGGCACGAACTGACAAGACTTGATCATTTTCAAAAGACAAAACTGCAAAATCCCAAATTTCCAACATCTGAAACTCACAATATTCAAATTCCCCAGCTCAAATACATATATTTTAATCTCCACGTCGCCACAATCTCATTTGTTGCCCAGAACCACCACATTCTGGAAGCTATTTTCCTTGATCATATTTAAGAAAAAAAAAATGTCTACAATCTCAATTCTCCCAAAAAAAAATGTCCATGGTTTTGGAATTTTGACCTATTCTGAAGTTCCAATTCTCCGGTCCATCCTCAACCCTTCCATTTTCCCATGCCTGTTTGCCTCAGAGGAGTATGGGTTAAGGATATAGGGGCACTGTCGTCACCTCTGCCCCTGCCTCCAGGCCTTCCTCAGTCTCTCTTGTGGTTCCGCTGTATAGATAGATAGATATATAATTTGTGTGTAGATATATATATATGTATTCTTTATTACGTATTTTTTTGCAGTTTTTCTAAAGTGCCAGAAACAAGATTTGTGGGAATTTTTAGTGATTTTTTTTTTTGTGTGTTTTTCCCCATTTGAAACCTTTCCCCCCCTTAAAAATTGGAACTTGGTACATTCAGTAGGAAATTCGTCACTCAGGCTGTGGCCAAGACCAAGAAAAGTGCAAAGAGACAGAGGAGGAATGAAGGAGTGACTCCTCTGTGGTTAACATTCAGGGAGCCTGTCTAAAACCTCCCCTTTTGTATATGCTGGGAGGGTATGAGGGGTAGGAGGATGGTCCTGGCCCTCCCTAAACTCACCTCCCTCCAAAAGCCATGATCTTGCCCTTGGCAGTGATTGCTGCTAGGGCAGCCATCTTGGCCCCAAAAACAGTAGCTGGGGAAAAGGCTGCCATTTTGATGACAGCAACTTTTCCTTTTAAAACTGCACTCCTCTAATTCCCATTTGTCAAATTTGCTCCCCCATACTGGCTCTCCCCTTGTGAGCTATTTTTTGGGGGGAGGTGGGTGGGATGGGAAATATTTATCCAATCACAGAGCAGGGAGGCCCAGTTTTCAAAGAGAATTAGGAGCAAACATTTATCTCCCCCACTGGAAGGAAATACAGGGACCCTGACCAGGGTTAACTAGTGCAAATTAGGGATTAGGGACTATTTAAAGTCCCTGTACCCCATCCCTAGGCTGGGATCTTTGGGTGTGGGGAACTGAGTCAAAGATGGGGTGTAAGGTGCTATTTTGAAGGGAAAGTTGGTGGGGATACCCCAAAGCCCACCAGAAGAGTAGAATGGTTCCCCCAAAACCATCTGGAGTGATTGGTGAGGGGAGTGACACTGGGGAGATGGGAATACAGGTAAGGATGGAAGGTCATGTGCAAATCCTGGGCTTACCCACCCATCCGACCCCTATCATTTTTCTGGCTATTTGGTCTAGTCTGGGAGAAACCATCAGGAAAAAAAAACAGGGAGAAAGTAGATTCCCTTCTCCATCCCATATGGAGTTCTTCCCTCCTGGCCCCCAAATCTGGTCTAGCCCAGAATAGGCCATATGTAGAGGCAGAAAGAGGTGTGATCTGCTTACCTCTTTTGCCTTGGAAGAATCTGGAGCTCACTGGATTTGGGGGTCAAGATAGGGCCAATATTTCCCTGCCCTGGACTGGGAAAGTGCTCAGCCACAGAACAGAGGGGCAGAGGGGCAACCCTCCCCCAAACCTCCTTGACCTGGCTTGGGAGAGGCCATCTCCGAAGTCCAGGAATATGGGGAGGAACATGGAAGATCCAAAGGCATGGAAGCTGAGGAAGGTGTCTTGATACAAGGGAAACAGGGACGTAGAGACCCACGCTGGGGAAGGATGAAACCCAAAGCCACACTCCCAGGTGGGCGGGGTCAGGTATCACAATGGTCTGGTCCAGGCCCTGGGCCACAAAGAATGGAATGTGCTAGGAAGCAACTGGGAAGGGCTTAGAGAAAGCTTCAGAACAAGGCGGGTCATTAGGTGAGAGAGATGGTTTCCCCTAGGTTTACGAATCAGGGGAGCAGGTTAGACATTCAGAGCTGGTGGGGGCTGTGAGTAGAGATTCAGGTTAAGTATATTGCTCAGTTGCCCCAAGGGCTGGAGAAGGGATGGAAGCTGGCCCTGCCCCTCATGGAGGCCATTCCCTGGAGGAAGACTGAGAGGGGAACCTCGAAAGATCCCTTCCCAGGAGATGGGAAAACTACATCTCACACAAAGCAGCCTGACCCCTGAGCTCCAGGGGCCCCCAAGTCCCTGCACAAGAGTGTGAAGGGGCTCCCAAGGGGCAGGGAGGCCAGGGAGCTGGTAGTGGTGGGGGGTTCAGGGAGGGTGGCATCTGGTGAAAGGGGGATTGAGCCCCAGGGTTCACCCCACATCGCCCTTCTGGGTTCTCTCAACCCCTGCCCTTTCCCCTTCTCCCTTAGGGGGAATTGGTGGAGGAAGAGTTGGGGGAGGTGGTGTTGGTGGGGCAGGGGGTGCTGCTTGAGGATTCACTGCGTAGCCAAAGACCCCTGGTAGGAAGGGAAGGGCCCCCGCACCCTTCTCATCAGGTAGGACCATGTTGAGAGCAACCGGGAGAGCGGCCAAGTTACTGAAGTTGTAAGGGTAGGCGGCAAGGAGCTGGGGGCCATAGACGAGCGGGTAGGGCTCAGGGTAGAAAGTGACTTTGGCAGCCCCTATCCCCTCCATCCGGTCCCCCTCACCAGCCCCCACTGGCCCTTCACTCCCAGATTTTCCCCTGCCACCGCCAGGTTCCCGGCCGCCCCCAATCAAGGCCAGTGGAAATTCCTGCACAGGTGGGTATACATAGCTGCCCCCGCTTGCCACTACTGGGGGCTCCTCACCCCCTGAAATGATAGGGTCCTGGAGTGAGGCGGTCTCGGAAGCTTCCTCAGCAGCAGTGCTCCCGCCACCTGCCTCACCGCTGGATGAGGAGACTTGCATCTCTTGGGGGGCTTCCTCCTTGACATCCCCGGGCCTGGTGCCAGCGCTGCCCTTGGAATAGGCAATGACAGGGGTTGGGGTGCCCCCGGGCCGCTCAGCAGCATGCCTCTGCCCGTGGCGGCTCAGGGCAGCTGCGGTCTTGCACACCTTGGCGCAGTGGGGGCAGGTAAAGCGGGTGGAGGGCCTCCGTCCGGCCCGGGAGCTGTGGGAGCCCCCACCGTGGGCCTCTTGGTGCTTCCGCAGCTTTCTCAGGGTGGTGAAGGTCTGGGCACAGTCCCCGCATCGGTGCCTCCGCTCTGTGCGGGCACGTCCCGCTGGGCTCTCGGCCGCTGGGGTTTCCTCCCAGCTCCTCCGTTCCAGCTTCTGCCTCCAACGTGGTGGCCGGCGGCCTCGGGGCAGCCCACTGCCCCCCACACTGGCACCTCCAGCAGCTCCAGCCTTGCGCTTAGGCTTGTAGGAGTAGTAGGGCCTCCAGAGCTGGTCCTCCCCACCAGCCTTTGATTCCTCCTCATCCTCCTCCTCCTCCTCTTCGTCCTCCTCCTCTTCGTCCTCCTCACTCTCCTCCATCTCCTCTCCGCTCAGCTCCCCAGGACGCAGGTCAGTCTCTGAGATGCGGCGCTTGACGATGGCCTCCTCCCCTATTCGCACAGTGATCTGACACAGTGGAGGTGGAGCCTGCAGCTGAGAGGGGCCCCGGCCAGCCCCTGTGGGGGGACCCCCACCTCCACCAATCCCGCCCACTGGCTTGGCTGTGTAAGTCAGAGTCCTTCCAGCCCGTGGATTCCGGCCCTTGGCCTCCTCCGTGGTGGTGGCCATGGCTGGCCCTGCAGCGGTGGCTGGGCTGACTGCTGTGGCTGGGCTGGTGGGTGTGGCTGCAGGCTCAGGGGGAGGAGGTGGGTATTCTCGTTTCTTGGGTGGCCTCGGGGGAGCAGTGTAAGTGATAACCGAGGCAGCTTGGGACCCTCCTGTGCTGGCCGTCCCACTCCCCCCTCCACCACTGCTACTGCCCCCATGGACAATGACAGAGGGGGCTGGGTGGGCAAAAGTGATGACAGAGGGTGGAGGGCCAGGCTCTGGGGCAGGTGGAGGCCCAGGCGGCGGGCTGGCTGGCATTGCCACAGGGGCCGGTGTGTTGAGGGTTGGAGAAAGGGGAGCCTCCGGGGCTCCCTGGCTGTAGGTCTTGTAGGGCCGCTTGGCTGCCCGCATGGGGAGCAGGCGGTAGAGCTTGAGTGTATTGAGCTTGGGCTTGTAGCCTCCATTGGGTGTCTTCTCACTGGCAAGGAGGCCCGGGCTAATGCCGTGGAAGGCTCGCTGGTGGGTCTTCAGGTTATAGTAAGTGACAAAGGTCTCCCAACAGAAGATGCACTGGTACCTGGGTCAGGACAGCAGGGAATAGGGCAGGAACACAGGCACTTGAGTCAAGGGCCCTGAAGCCTCCCAGGTCCTCCTACACCCTGCACTCAAACCTGTGACTCCCGTAGCCTTGTGCTGCCTCCCTCACCAGGCCAGCCTCAGTGCAGGGTGCCCGTCTGAGCTCAGTGCCTCCACTGGCTGTGAGACTCTAGGCCTCAGCTATTCCATCTGGGACGCAGCCTAACTCACGGAGCCTTCTTCTCAAGCCCAAATGGCAGAATGGGGAAACGACTTACGAACAGGGACACCACGTGGAAACACAAGGCCCTGCTCGGAATAGTGTAATGACTCCCGGACATGCCTGTGCTGCCACAGTCCTTTCTGGTGAGGGGAGTTTTCTCTTTCCTTCTAGGCCTTCCCCACAGCAGCAAGCCAGGACATGGCACAAAGAGGCCCTAACAAACCTCAGCTGATGAACCCTGGAGGTGAGGTTGCAGTGAGCCAAGATTGCACCACTGCACTCCCGCCTGGGCGACAGAGTGAGACTCTGTCAAAAAAAGAAAAAAAAAAAAAAAAAAAAACCTCAGCTGAAGGAACTGGGGCTGGAGGGAGGCAGACCGGTGAGTGGTGGTGAGCAGGGGCCTCAGGATGGCTTTTTTTTTAAATTCTCAAATTGCTTGTAGAGGCTGAGCGCAGTGGCTCATCCCTGTACTCCCAGCACTTTGGGAGGCTGAGGTTGGCGAATCACCTGAGGTCAGGAGTTCAAGAACAGCTTGGCCAACATGGTGAAACCCTGTCTCTACTAAAAATACAAAAATTAGCTGGGCGTGGTGGCGCGCACCTGTAATCCCAGATACTCGGGAAGCTGAGGCAGGAGAATCGCTTGAACCCAGGAGGTAGAGGTTGCACTGAGCTGAGATTGCGCCACTGCACTCCAGCCTGGGGGACAGAGCGAGACTCGGTCTTAAAAAAAAAAAATGCCGTCTTAAAAAAAAAAAAATGCCGCCGGGCGCGGTGGCTCATGCCTGTAATCTCAGCACTTTGGGAGGCCAAGGCGGGTGGATCACAAGGTCAGGAAATCGAGACCATACTGGCTAACACGGTGAAACCCCGTCTCTACTAAAAATACAAAAAATTAGCCGGGCGTGATGGCGGGCGCCTGTAGTCCCAGCTACTCGGGAGGCTGAGGCAGGAGAATGGCGTGAACCTGGGAAGTGGAGCTTGCAGTGAGCCGAGATCACGCCACTGCACTCCAGCCTGGGCAACAGGGCGAGACTCTGTCTCAAAAAAAAAAAATAAAAAAAATGCCAGGTGTGGTGGCTCACGCCTGTAATCCCAGCACTTTGGGAGGCCAAGGCGGGCAGATCACGAGGTCAGGAGTTCAAGACCATCCTGACCAACATGATGAAACCCTGACTCTACTAAAAATACAAAAAAAAATTAGCTGGGCATGGTGGCGCATGCCTGTAATCCCAGCTATTCGGGAGGCTGAGGCAGAATTGCTTGAACTGGGACCTGGGAGGCGGAGGTGGCAGTGAGCCGAGAAGGCACCACTGCACTCCAGCCTGGGCTACAGAGAGAGGCTCTGTCTCAAAAAAAAAAAAAAAAAGAAAAAAAAATTGTTTGTAGAGATGGGGTCTCTATGTTGTCCAGGCTCGTCCCAGACTCCTGGCCACAAGCGATCCTCCCACCTCAGCTAACCACAGTGCTGGGATTACTGCAGCTAGCCTAGTTTCAGGATAACTTTCTAGGCCCCAAGCCCCACCCACTGCCGCCCTTGTTCCTATGACCGCTGAGTGCCAGCCTCCAGCCGCTCCCCCGCCAGCCTGGATCACTCACCTGCGCTCCCCCGTGTGCCACACTTCATGCTTCGTGCGGTACTCCGCCAGAGCAAACACTTTCTCACAATAGCGGCAGGGGTACTTCCTCCGCCACGAGTGTACATTGCTGTGTCTCTTCAGACTGGACAGGGTCACGTAGGAACGCTCGCAGGCCGCGCACACATACAGCACGTGGCCGCCCACCACCTTCACCACGTGCTCGGGGCCCCCTCGGAAGCCCACTGGTGGAGGCAGGGCTGAGGCGTCCACCCCTGCAGGACCACCAGGGCCAGCGCCCCCAGCTCCCAGCCCTGTAGACCCCCGCGTGCTGGCCCCTCGTCGGCACTGGGCCTCATGGGTCTGCAGCCGTTTGGGATGGATGAAGCTTTTTCCACACTGGGGGCAGGGGAGGGGCCGCCGGGGCAGGGAGCACTGCAAGTCAGGGGCCTGGGCCTCAGCCCTGTCACCCTCCCACTCCCCAGCTGGCCTGGGCCCGGGCCCAAAGCTGTCCTCTTCAGGCTGCGAGGTGGCCATGGGGGCTGGGGTAGGAGGTACCCAGGCATCACCTCCCTCCCCCAGGCCCTGAAGGCGGGAGATGCCCAGACGGCGCCCCAAAGCTCCAATCTCTGCTACAGCTGCCCCGTCCCCTCCACCACCAGGCAGTGCGAGCCGGGCGCTGTAGATGAAGTTGAGGACATCAGAAAACGCAGCTGCTGGGACTCCTGGCAACTCCAGGACCCGGGGTGGGGAAGAAGCAGGGGGAGAGGCTGGAGGGGGAGAGGAAGAGGAAGAGGAAGAAGAAGAAGAAGCAGAGGAGGAAGAAGAGGAAGAAGACGAGGAAGAGGAGGAGGAGGAAGAGGCAGCTGTGGTGGTGGCAGGGTTGGGTGCGGCGCCCCCAGTAGCTGGTGGAAGGGGTAGTGGGGCTGAAGTGAGCAGGGCCTCTCTGAAGAAGGGACTTGAAGCAGCCAGGACGCTGCGGTGAGCAGGGAACTTGGTGTCTCCGGCTATGAGGGTGACGTCACAGAAGAGGCCACGGAGCCGCTGTTCATTGAGCTGGCGCAGGACGGCGGGGGCATGGGACGGGTCCGTCACCTCTGCAGGGGGGGGCATGGTGCCAGCCTAGACAGTGGGAGAAGAGGCCGGGTAGAGTCTCAGAGGCTGGGCAGAGGGCAGGGGCTTCTAAAATCAGGCAGAGAGAGGATCAGGAGCTGCTGGTCAGAAACTAGTGGAAGGCTGAATCACTTCTGGTCACAGAAGTCAGGGGTTGGCCCTTAGCCACCCAAGTCTGGCCAGCATCCAAGACCAGTATGTCTAACTCACTTCTGAGGCTGGAAGAGGCCAGAGATACCTCAGGTCATGGTGAAGGTCAAGGGGTCATGACCTCTGAAGTCACAGACTAGAGATGTAAGTGAGGCAAATCTCTCTCATGGGAAGGAGGAGGAAGCTCCACAACTCCTGATAGCCATTTCACAGAACTCCCCAGCCTAGACAAAATGGCCGCCCCTGCTGGCCTGCTGCCTTGGGTCTACTTTGTCCTCACTGTAGGCCTCTGGGTACCTTCTCACCTGAGAGCACAGCCAACATGGAGTGGGGCGGGGGGTGGCTCAGCGAGTCCCTTCTGCTGGGCCTCTTCCTTCTGCGGAGAAACAGAAATTATGTCAGGGGAACCTAGAGGAGGAGCAGAAGAGGGTCCTCAAGGAGGGAAGTGAGAGGAAAAGCCCCCAGGAAGTGGGGAGGGGTGCAGTACTGTGGCCAGAGAGGACACCTGGGTGAGCCCAGACCCCTCCCCGGAGCCTCTGCCAGGTTATTTGTTTAGCTGTGTCCAGTCAAACCTGGGAGGTCACGCAGATTATTGCAGAGCCTTGTTCTGCGGGCCCAGAGAAGTACAGTGACAAGATAATTTGCATATTCCCAATTCACCTCCAAACAATATAGTAGCACAGGTCCAGTCCATAGGTTCAGGGAAGCCTGTCACAGCACTCTCAAGTCCCTTTGGCCCAATCTCCAGGGCTCAGAGGAAGTCAAAGATTTGCATGTTGTCATTTATCACAATGGTCTCATTTACATATCAAAATAATTTGTGAGTTTTTAAAAATTGGACCTAAGCTGGTAGATATTCAAATTAGGAGAGGACATCCTCACATCCTTCCAGCCCCATAAATCTTAGAAGGGGGTTTCTGGCGCAGCTGCCAGGCAACCATTGAAGACCACTGACCCATACACAACTGCCAGCTTGCTCCAGCCTCTGGAGGGCACTGGAAAGGCCACAAGACCAGGAGGCCTGGTCCCACGCCTTACTCAGAGACCTGATGCCCTAGGGATCTGGACTTAAAAAGCGGCAGAATCACAACTCCTACCTCACCTCTTGCTGGGAGACTCGTCCAGAGGGAAGAGCAAGGCCAGGCGCGGGGGCTCACGCCCGTAATCCCAGCAGTTTGGGAGGCCAAGAGGGGTGGATCACCTGAGGTCAGGAGTTCAAGACCAGCCTGACCAACATGGTGAAACCCACATCTCTACTAAAAATACAAAAAATTAGCCGGGCGTGGTGGCACGTGCCTGTAATCCCAGCTACTTGGGAGGCTGAGGCAGGAGAATCACTTGAACCTGGGAGCTGGAGGTTGCAGTGAGACGAGGTCACGCCACTGCACTCCAGCCTGGGCAACAAGAGCAAAACTCCGTCTCAAAAAAAAACCCCCCAAAAAACAAAGGGAAGAGCAGACAACTGAAACGCAAGCTCAGGCAGTCAGCAGCAGAGAAAGCACCGCGCAGCCACCTTCCCCTGCAGGCACCATCAGGGCCTTGAAGACTCTTTTCAGTTGAAGGTTTGAGTTCAAAAGCCAGACTTATCCAAAGTCACACAGCGCTGGTAATGACAGGCGGCACCTATTTAGAGATCCAGGCCCGCAGACTTGAGAGCAGAGCTCTCCGGACCCTCTCCTCTGCCCTCCACAAAGCCTGGGAGCTGTCACCCATCTTTGAGGGTGTCCTTCCGTATGCCGTGGGCCACGTGTCTTCAGAGGTGTCCGGCATCAGGAGTTCCTCATACAATTCCCATCCCCTGAAAAATCTTCTTTCCCATTTATCACTCATACTGTCTGGACTCAAAGGCCTTTTCCCCACATATACCCCATTTCACATCCCCCAAAATATTTTCCTGACACCTCTCCTGGATGGGAAGAAGGAAGATGGTAAACAGGGATGATATTCCAAAGTTTTAACAACCCTGTCTGCCAGGGACTGATGAGGTTCTGGGTCAAGTGTTGCCCTGTCAGTTGGTGAATTTCAGGTAGGTCGTAGGTCAGGCATCCTGCGGAAGGGGCCTCACTGCATTCACAGGCTGATGCCCAGGCCTCCTACTCGCCTCCATGAGAACCACTGGCTCACCGGGACCCCAAGAGTCAGTGTTTTATTTGGATTACCTCATTTGTTCCTTATCACTACCCTGAAAGGTAGCAGTTAGCTTTCCCTCCTTTTAAATTTTATTTATTTGTTTTGAGATGGAGTCTCGCTCTGCGCCCAGACTGGAATGCAGTGGTGCAATCTCAGCTCACTGCAACCCCCGCCTCCTAGGTTCAAGCGATTCTCCAGCCTCAGCTTCTTGAGTAGCTGGGATTACAGGCGTCCGCCGCCATGCCTGGCTAATTTTTTGTATTTTTAGTAGAGACAGGGTTTCACCGTGTTAGCCAGGGTAATCTTGATCTCCTGACCTTGTGACCTGCCTACCTAGGCCTCCCAAAGTGCTGGGATTATGGGCGTGAGCCTCCATGCCTGGCCACTTTCCCTCTTTAAGGCCGGGCACGGTGGCTCATGCCCGTAATCCCAGCACTTTGGGAGGCCAAGGCGGGCGGATCATCTGAGGTCAGGAGTTCTAGACCAGCCTGGCCAATGTGGCGATCTCTACTAAAAATAATAATAAAAAAAAAATTAGCCAGGCATGGTGGTGGGTGTCTGTAATCCCAGATACTTGGGAGGCTGAGGTAGGAGAATTGCTGGAACCCAGGAAGTAGAGGCTGCAGTGAGCCGAGATCGCGCTGGATGGAGATCAATCCAGGCTGGGTGACAGAGTGAGACTCTGTCTCAAAAAATAAAAATAAAAATAAATAAAAAATAGGCCGGGCACGGTGGCTCACACCTGTAATCCTAGCAGTTTGGGAGGCAGAGGCGGGTGGATCGCGAGGTCAAGAGATTGAGACCATCCTGAAAAACATGGTGAAACCCTCTCTCTACTGAAAATACAAAAATTAGCCGGACGTGGTGGCAGGCACCTGTAGTCCCAGCTACTCGGTAGGCTGGGGCAGGAGAATCACTTGAATCCGGGAGGCGGAGGTTGCAGTGAGCCGAGATTGCGTCACTGCACTCCAGCCTGGTGACAGAACGAGACTCTGTCTCAAAAAATAAATAAATAAATAAAATGACAGACCATGGGCTGGGTGCAGTGGCTCACACTTGTAATCCCAGCACTTTGGAAGGCTGAGGCAGGTGGATCCCTTGAGCTCAGGAGTTCGAGACCAGCCTGGGCAAGATGGAGAAACCTGGTCTCTACAAAAAATACAAAAATTAGCCAGGTGTGGTGGTGTGCACCTATAGTTCCAGCTACTCAGGAGGCTGAGGTGGGAGCATCCCTTAAGCCCAGGAGTTCAAGGCTGCAGTGAGTTATGATTATGCCACTGTACTCCAGCCTGAGTGACAGAACAAGACCCTGCCTCAAAAAAATAAAATAGGCTGGGCATGGTGGCTCATGCCTGTAATCCCAGCACTTTGGGAGGCCGAGGTGGATGGATCACCTGAAGTTCAGGAGCTCGAGACCAGCCTGGCCAACATGGTGAAACACCGTCTCTACTTAAAATATAAAAAATTAGCAGGGCATGGAGGTGGGCACCTATAATCCCAGCTACTCAGGAGGCTGAGGCAGGAGAATCACTTGAACCCAGGAGGCAAAGGTTGCAGTGAGCCGAGATTGCACCATTGCACTCCAGCTTGGGCAACAAGAATGAAACTTCGTCTCAAAATAAATAAATAAAATGTCAGATTATGGCTTATCAATGCTAGGTAGCTGGCCCAAGGACGTATGACCAGCTAGTAGCAGGGCTGGGATCTGATCCCAGGAAGTTTGGCTCCAAAGCCTGTGTTCCTGATGACTTCACCATATATTAACGAAGGACGTGTTTATGGCACCCACTAGGGCACAAATATCCTACCTGGGTGCCTTTCTGAAAATTAGAAGCAAGGTTCTTTCCTCCAGGAGGTAGCAGCCCTGTGTAGGTGGGCAAAGTCAAGCTTTGCCTCCAGTCCCCATTCACCCCACTGGCTGGGCCTGCCAACCTGCACAACCATATGTGGTGGGCTATGCATGTGTGACCGTGTGCTGACTACCACAGTACTTGGACGAGACCTGTCAGGGCTTCTTAGAACTAGAGACACCCAATGCTGGACTGGCCCTTAAGATCACACACAATCATTGTCATCATGGTCTCTGTAGCTGCCATTTATGAAAAAAATTTTTTTTTTTTGAGACAGGGTCTCATTCTGTTGCCCAAGCTGGAGTGCAGTGGTGTGAACATTGCTCACTGCAGCCTGGACCTCCTGGAATCAAATGATCCTCCTGCCTCAGCCTCCGGAGTATCTGGGACCATAGGCTTATGTCACAATGCCTGGCTAATTTATTTATTTACTTTTGTAGAGATGGGGTCTTGCCACGTTGCCCAGGCTTGAAATACTTATGATGTGCAAAGTATAATGCTAAGCATTTTATCTGTATCATCTCATTTCAACACTCAAAATGGCCAGTGAGACAACAGGCTTAGAGAAATCAAATACTCTAAACTCCTCCCTTTCAGGTAGAAGGTAGGTAGTGATGGGGTTATTTGCCTCTGGTTTTGTTGCTAGCCAACCCAGCGTTTGGACGCAGCTTGAGTTAAACTGCCCTATCCTGGCTACTGCCCTGCAAGGCCTTATAGGAAGTGGAAAAGACTAGCTATGTGACCCCAGGCAGGTTACTTAACCTCTCTGTATCTGTTTCTTTGTCCATACGGTGGGGACAATTAATAGTTCCTACCTTGTGGGGTTGTTGTAAAGATTAAATGAGCTAACAACTGGCAATATTTAGTTTGTAGAACTCAGTCCTGGAAAATGGTGGGGAGAAGTAGTGAAGAAAAAAAGGCACAAATTGGGCTTCCTGGTAGGTTTGGTGGCTCTGTGGTTTTAGAGTTTTTTATTTGTTTGTTCTTACCATTTCTCTACTCTTCAGTGCCTGTGTGACCTCAGATGTGCCACTGAGGTGGGGATCTGAGCATGGACACCAGAGACGCCCTACATCTTGCGGTTCCCTCTGGCTGGAATGTTCTTTCCTCCAGATAGCCTCATGCAGTGAACCCCAACTTCCTTTAAGCCTTGACTTAGAAGCCACCTTCCCCTGAGGCCTTCCCTGGCCACTCCCCACCTTCTAAAACTTCCTATCTCCCGACCCTACTTTATTTTGCTCCTTGGCACTTAGTAACACTTTTTCTTTTTTTTTTTTGAGACACAGTCCAGCTCTGTCGCCCAGGCTGGAGTGCAGTGGTGCGATCTGGGCTCACTGCAACCTCCGCCTCCTGGGTTCAAGCGATTCTCCTGCCTCTGCCTCCCGAGTAGCTGGGATTACAGGCGCCTGCCACCACGTCCGGCTAATTTTTGTATTTTTAGTAGAGACGAGGTTTCACCATCTTGGCCAGGCTGTTCTTGAAATCCCAACCTCGTGATCCACCTGCCTTGGCCTCCCAAAGGGCTGGGATTACAGGCATGAGCCACCGCGCCCAGCCTGGCTAATTTTTTTGTATTTTTAGTAGAGGTGGGGTTTCACCATGCTGGCAAGGCTGGTTTTGAACTCCTGACCTTAAGTGATCTGCCCGCCTCTGCCTCTCCAAGTGCCAGGATTATAGGAGTGAGCCACTGCACCTGGCCATTCTTTTTTTTTTTTTTTTTTTTTTTTTGAGATGAGGTCTCACTCCGTTGCCCAGGTTGGAGTGCAGTGGCACAATCATGGTTCATTGCAGCCTCAACCTCCCAGGCTCTCATGACCTCCCACCTCAGCGTCCCTAGTAGCTGGCACCACAGGTGCACACCACAATGCCCAGTTAATTTATTTTTTATTTTTAGTAGAGATTGGATCTCTCTATGTTGGCCAGGCTGGTCTCGAACTCCTGGGCTCAAGTGATCCTTCTGCCTCGGCCTCCCAAAGTGCTGGGATGACATGCATGAGCCACTGAAACTGGCCCAACTGCTTCTCTTTTTTTTTTGCGGCGGGGGACAGAGTCTAGCTCTGTCGCCCAGGCTGGAGTGCAGTGGCACAATCTTGGCTCACTGCAACCTCCGCCTCCCGGGTTCAAGAGATTCTCCTGCCTCAACCTCACGAGTCACTGGGACTATAGGCGCGCGCCACCATTTTTTTTTTTTTTTTTTTTGAGACTGAGTCTCGCTCTGTCGCCCAGGCTGGAGTGCAGTGGTGCGATCTTGGCTCACTGCAAGCTCCGCCTCCCGGGTTCACGCCATTCTCCTGCCTCAGCCTCCGGAGTAGCTGGGACTACAGGCACCCACCACCACTCCCGGCTAATTTTTTTTTGTATTTTTAGTAGAGACGGGGTTTCACCATGTTAGCCAGGATGGTCTCCATCTCCTGACCTTGTGATCTGCCCACTTCGGCATCCCAAAGTGCAGGGATTACAGGCATGAGCCACCGCGCCTGGCCAGGCCCGGATAATTTTTGTATTTTTAGTAGAGATGGGGTTTCACCATGTCGGCCTGGCTGGTCTTAAACTCCTGACCTCAGGTGATCTGCCCGCCTCAGCCTCCCAAAGTGCTGGGATTACAGAGCCTGGTCAATTATTTATCTTTTTTTGAGACAGGATCTTGCTCTGTTGCCCAGGCTGCAGTACAATGGTGAGATTGAGGCTCACTGCAGCCTTAACCTCCTGGGCTCAAATGATCCTCTCACCTGTCAGCCTTCTGAGTAGCTGGGACTACAGGTACCTGCCACCATGCCCAGATAATTTTTGTATTTTTTGTAGAGATGAGGTTTCACCATGTTCCCCAGGGCTGGTATTGAAATCCTGGTCTCAAGCAATCCGCCCAGCTCAGCATCCCAAAGTGCTGGGATCATAGTGGAAAGCCACTGCGCCCAGCTCCTATTTCTTATTTATCTCTGGAATGTAAGCTCCAAGGGGTAAAAGGTAGGAATGTTTTTGGTTTTGTTTTGTTTTTGAGATGGATGGCATCTTGCTCTGTTGCCCAGGCTGGAGTGCAGTGGCATGATCTCTCTCGGCTCACTGCAACCTCTGCCTCCTGGGTTCAAGCAATTTTCCTGCCTCAGCCTCCCAAAAACCTGGAACTACAGGCATATGCCACCACACCCGGCTAATTTTTATATTTTTAGTAGAGACAGGGTTTCACCATGTTGACCAGGCTGGTCTCGAACTCCTGACCTCAGGTGATCCACCCGCCTTGGCCTCCCTCCCAAAGCGCTGGAATTACAGGCATGAGCCACCATGGCCAGACTTTTTTTTTTTTTGACATGAGGTCTTGCTTTGTCACCCAGGCTGTAGTGCAGTGGTGTTACCACAGCTCCCTGCAGCCTTGACCTCCCCTAGGCTCAGGTGATTCTCTCATTACAGCCTCCCAAGTAGCTGGGACTACGGGCATATGCCACCACGCCCAGCGAATTTTTTGTATTTTTAGTAGAGATAGGGCTTCACCATGTTGCCCAGGTTGGTCTCGAACTCCTGGGATCAAGCAATTCACCGCCTTGGACACCCAAAGTGTTGGAATTACAGGTGTGAGCCACAGCGCCCGGCCAAGGGTAGGGAATTTTGTCTGCTTTGTTCATTGCCGTATCTGAAGTCGTTAGAATAGGGCCTAGCACGTAATAGGTGGTAAAAACAAAACAAAAAAACTGGTAAATGAATGAACCTGTCCTCAAAGTCCATCCTCCAGGATGGAAGCCATCGTCCACGCTGGACTGAGTTGGCCTGGAGATAGGGATGACAATTATAACTTGACCACTTCTGGGCCAGGCACAGTGGCGCACACCTGTAATCCCAGCACTTTGGGAGGCTGAGGCGGGCAGATCACTTGAGGTCAGGAGTTCCAGACCAGCCTGGCCAACATGATGAAACCCCATCTGTACTAAAAATACAAAAATTAGCTGGGTGTGGTGGTGCACGCTTGTAACCCCAGCTACTCAGGTGGCTGAGGCAGGAGAATTGCTTGAACCGGGGAGGTGGCGGTTGCAGCGAGCAGAGATTGCGCCACTGCATTCCAGCCTGGGCGACAGAGTGAGACTCTGCCTCAAAAAAAAAAAAAAAAAAAAAAAAGGCCAGGTATGGCCAACTCACGCCTGTAATCCCAGCACTTTGGGAGGCCAAGGCAGGTGGATCACCTGAGGTCAGGGATTGACCACCTGCCTAGCCAACATGGTGAGACCAGCCTGGCCAACATGGTGAAACTTGGTCTCTACTGAAAATAAAAAATTAGCTGGGCGTAGTGGCGGGCGCCTGTAACCCCAGCTACCCGGGAGGCTGAGGCAGGAGAATCACCTGAACCCGGAAGGCGGAGGTTGCAGTGAGCCAAGATCATGCCATTGCATTCCAGCCTGGGTAACAAGAGAGAAATTCCGTCTCAAAAAAAAATTAAAAGAAACCATAAATAAGTTGACCACTCTGGAGTCCTCACAATTTGCCTCATACTCTTCTTGGGGCCTCACACACATTACCTCATTTAATGATATTCTCAGTACAGCCACCCACAATAGGTTTTATATTATCCTGTTGCCCAGGCTGGAGCGCAGTGGCGTGATCTCGGCTCACTGCAACCTCCGTCTCCTGGGTTCAAGCAATTCTCCTGCCTCAGCCTCCAGAGTAGCTGGGATTCCACGCCCAGCTAGTTTTTTTATTTTTAGTAGAGACAGGGTTTCTCCATGTTGGCCAGGCTGGTCTTGAACTCCTGACCTCAGGTGATCCACCTGCCTTGGCTTCCCAAAGTTCTGGGATTACAGGCATGGGCCACTGCGCCCGGCCATATTATTCTAATTTTACAGAAGAGGAAACCGAGGCTCAGAGAGGGATATACCTTACTCGAGGTCGCACAGCTTGTAAGCAGCAGTCAAGATTCGAATCCAGGCCCAGCTGACCCCAGATGCTCAATCTTTCCCTCTGCCATACTGCTAGACCTGGCCCTGAAGAGGCCTATGGCCCGCCAGCTGGTTACATAAACCACCGCACAAGGTCTCACGTGCTAAGTGCTAAATGTGTCATGTCTGACTCCACCCTTTCCCTCACTTCCACATCCAGCAGTCATCAAGTGTGGCTGAAATCGCCGCCGAGCTTGGGAATGGCTCTGGAAATCTTCCCTTCGATAGCTCAGGTCCTTGTTAACACTCACGTGGTCCAAGGTTATGGCCTCCCAGCTATCCCCTGGCCTCCAGGCTTACCTTCCTCCATCCAGCCCTCCTCCCCCTGAGGGTCAACGTCCCTAACCACAGTTCAGGACTATCACTCCTGGGCTCAAAACCTCCACTGGTCCCCACTGACTCTAGAAGAAAGTTCAAATTCTTCTACCAGGCAGTCAAGGGCTCTGGTCTAGCTCCAATCTTCCTTTTTAATCTTGCCTTGTGTTATCCTCTTCAAACACACAGTACTCAGCGTGAGCCAGGCGTGATGGCAGATACCCATAGTCCCAGCTACTCAGGAGGCTGCAGCTAGAGGATTGCTTGAGCCCAGGAGTTTGAGTCCAGCCTGGGCAATATATTGAGACCCAGTTTCTAAACAAATGAACAAAACCCCAGACACCCAGTGTGCTCTCCAGCTTCTACATGACCCACACCTTCATGCCTTTGCCTGTGCTGGCTTGTTCTGCCAGAAATGCTCTTTCCCCAAGCTTGTCAAAATCCCTCCAAAACGTTAAGATCTGACTCCAAGGCCACCTCCTTCTTGGCCCTCCCTGATCCACAGGATGAGAACGATCATTCCTTCCTCTGACTCATCAACCTTTTGTGCTCCTATGGCCAGCATCCACCTTACACAGCAGCAGAGACTCAGGTTCTCATGCCCTCAGCTGGGGATCCCTGAGCATCCGGGTCTTCTGAAATGGACTGCTGCAAATGCTAAGTTCTGCAGCAACTGGGGAGAAGAGTGTTGGAGGGAGTTGCACAGAAAGGACCATCCACTGAATGTTCCAGAAGGCAGCAGAGTACAGTAGTTAAGAGCACAAGATCTTCAACCTGATTGCCCGGGTTCAAATACAGCTTCACCTCTTACTAGCTAAGTGACTTGGGGCAGATTACTTAACTTCTCTGGACCTCAGCTGCCTCACTTGAAAAAGGGAGGTAGAGTGCCTACTTCAGGGTGTTGTTCTGAGGACAGAGTGGCCACATATAAGTGCCCTGAGGACAGGCTGGTGCACGGTCAGTGCTAAGCAAGTGTGTGCTGCCATTATTATCAGCGAAGCCCCAAGAAGGGAATTCCCAGTCCTGGGGGAGGGCTGACAGGGGCTGGCATAGGCACAGCCCCCAGACTATAGCCACTTTCCGGGTCCGTTTCCCATGTGCTTTTGGAAGATACGCAGGGCAGACAATCAGCCCCATTCTGCAGATGAGGAACTGAGCTTCCTTCAGATCAAGTGCCAGTGAGGGAATGGTAAAGACGCCAGAGCTCCTCAGCCCTGGACCATGGCTCCTTTCTCTTCACCAGACCGTCACTGTGCACCTGTTGAGCAGGCTCCCACGGCAGCCACCCCTTCCCAGCCCCCCATGCCGGAGGGCCTGTCCGCAGCACCCTCCCTTCCCCCACGTACACACATCCTTCCAGTGGGGCCGGGCACAGTAGACAGTGGTGTGCAGGCTTGGAATGCACTTGCACACACACCCCTAGAAGGGCCCAGTCCCCAAAGGTGAGGAAAACCTGTTCTGAGGAATCTGCCTAGTGAGCGAATTCTGTTCTGAGGCCCTTCCACCGTCGCAGGAGTGGGGCCCAGTGTGCGTCAGAGATACCCACAAGGGGGGCAGAGAGAGGGAGAGGGTGAAGCAGGAGGAGGCTGAAAACTTCACGTTTCTTTTTTCCATTTTAGTGACAAGAGTCACACCCAGCCTTTACATAAACATGGCCAAGGAGCCTCTCTGTCTAAGCTTACTTCCCTTGTGGCCGCCCAGCCTCTCCTCCGGGTGACCCTGACACGCTGGGCAGGCTCATGAGGGGCAAACATACAGACCCTGCAAAGATTAGCTGGGCCATCTGACAACACCCATGCCTCCCGCCGGCCTCCATGCGCTACCCTGCATTTATCTCCCGCCTTCCTCATACCAAATCCCCTCCGCAGCCCCACCGCCACTTAAGCACACAGACGGCAGGCACGCACACACAGCCTGCTTGCGGCTGGCCTCTTGGGTCTGAGGCCCACACTGCCCTTGTCACGCCACCTCCCTCCCCACATGTGTTTTCTGACCAGTTTGCCTCCCAGCTCAGCAGCCCAGACAGGCTCCTACAAACAACGTCACAAAAGAATCCTGTGGAGAATGTTGCAAACACACAACCTTCCCCTCGCTTGGCTGCCCATGATCCCATAAACACAACTGGCGCATTCCACCTCGAGCCCCTCACACCAGTGCCAACTGACCCACAGGCCCCTGAGACATACCCCGGGGTTCCTCGCTCCTCTCATGATCTTTGGGATCTGAGTTCTAGACGCGCAGCCCCCATGCAACGCGCTCATCACAGACACGCAAACCCATCCATCGCCCTCTTCACCACTGGACCACACCTCAGCAGGGCCACAGAAATGGGACCCAGACGTGACGCCTTCTGACTCAAAGGCCCACAACCGCCCCCTCCAAAAGGGCACATACACTGCATCCTGGCACCCTCCGCAACACATACAGCATGCCAGCTCTGCAGAAAACAGTTCATAAACAGGTCATAGGTGCAGCACAAGACACACATGCGAGAAAACACATGCTGTAGAAAACATACAGCCCCACATCGAACAAACTCTGCACCCAGCATGCTGTGCCCTGCTCAGAATACCCATCTGTCACCCAAAGCCACAGGGCTCGTCTTGTAACTCTGCCCCACAACACTGGACACCCTTCCTGGCTTTCTATCTCCATGGCCCAGGGAGGGCCCTACCCAGACCCCTGGCTGCCAGCAAACGGTGGTGCCCAGGAGAGGTTTACCTTGCCCCACCACACAGCACAAGACACACGATCTCCAAGACTCACAGCCACAACCCTGCCCCGA
Source organism: Homo sapiens (assembly GCF_000001405.40). Lineage (NCBI taxonomy): Eukaryota > Metazoa > Chordata > Mammalia > Primates > Hominidae > Homo > Homo sapiens. The sequence goes on from NW_016107299.1 coordinate 99,408, forward strand.
CGGCGCGGCGGTTCCGGGGCCCCAGCTCGCCCTGCGCACCCCGCACACCCCAACTCTGGGGCGCTCGGCGGCCCACCCCTCCCCCTCTCTGCCTGGCTCCTACGCCATCACCCTCCCAGCAGCTTGCAGCGCTTGCCCGGGCTCACACCCGCCCCACCCCACCCCCAATCTGCCCCACGGGGGGAGGGGGCCATTAGGCTGCAGAATTAACCCTTCAAAGAGGGAGTGAGCACCTCCCCTTCCACGGCCCCAGGCGATCGCGTCCCACGGCCGCCCCTCGCTCGGACGCCATACCAGGGCCCCCTTAGTCGCCCCCCAGCGTCGTGCGCGCCCGGGGGCGGGGCCAGGCTCAGCCCCCGACCCCTGCGCCCCCAGGTCAACCCCAAAGGAGAGCGGTCTGGGCGCGGGGCGCGGTCGGGGCTCCCGCAGCGCCGGGCAGCGGAGAGGGGGCCTGGCAGTTGGCTCCGGTCCGCCCTGGCCCTGCCCAGTTCGCCCCAGGGCCCACCTGACTGCGATGGCGCCGCGTCCGCCAGGCCCGGCTCATCACCGTGGCCGCCCCCGGCCGCTCCGGTTTTGCCCGCCTCCAGCTCCGGCTCCGGCTCCAGCTCCGGCCCTGGCCCCCCCAGCGCCTGGCCCCGGCCCGGCCCCGCTGCCGCCGCCGCCGCCGCCGCTGACATCATCGGCTCCCCCCGCCCCGGTCCTACCCCCACCCCCACCCCCGGAAACAGTCCCCCCCCAGCGCCGCCGCCGCCGCCGCCGAGAGGAGGCCGGCGCAGCGCAGCCGACACCGACACAAAGCTCCGAGCGCCCGACGGCCTTCCCCAGGACTGACCCCCGCGGCATGACACTGCGCCGCGCTGGGCCACCGGGCGGGTGGACACCGAGCGGGGCGCGGGCCGGGCTGCAGCATCCCGGCAGGGGCGCAAGACCACCGACCCCCAGGGAAAGGGCTCCCTCCGCCCTTCCTCCTGCACGCCCTTCACTCAGCGGTGCACACTGCCTGAAAGCATAACACACAGGCTCTCAGGGTGCAGACATGACATGGCAGACTCATAATCAGGCCCGGTGGGACTCACAGACCCAGGGTCGGCACACTCAAAGAGGGCCAGCCCTGGACACACACACACACCCTCTCCAGGAATGCGCAGGAAAGCTCAGCAGGCCGCGGAAAAAGAAGGCCCTGGCCCTGCATACGGGGCACACACGAACGACCACCAGCGCAAATGAACACATGAAGCTGGCTGGGTACTTTGTCCCCACCAGCAGATAGATCCACATCTGTATACTTGAACATAAATGCAGAGGCCTTGGTGTCGGCCTCTGGGGACAGCATCAACAAAACACCAGGTGGAAGCACACACAGAAAAAACACATTCCTGAAACTCCACAGGGACAATCCCAAGAACTCCTCCCTGGTGCTGGAAAATTAAAAACTAAGGAGATGGAGGAGCCAGGGTTCACAGCTCCTTGCCTTAAAACCTCTCTGAGGCTGGGCGCGGTGGCTCACGCCTGTAATCCCAGCACTTTGGGAGGCCGAGGTGGGCGGATCACGAGGTCAGGAGATCGAGACCATCCTGGCTAACACGGTGAAACCCTGTCTCTACTAAAAATACAAAAAAATTAGCCGGGCGTGGTGGCGGGCGCCTGTGGTCCCAGCTACTCGGGAGGCTGAGGCAGGAGAATGGCGTGAACCTGGGAGGCGGAGCTTGCAGTGAGCCGAGATCTCGCCACTGCACTCCAGCCTGGGCGACAGAGACAGACTCCGTCTCAAAAAAAAAACAACAACAAAAAAACCTCTCTGAAACCATGCAAGATATAAATAAACAAATTAATGTAAAGCCACAGAGCTAGCCATAAAAAGAATAAAAGAATCAGACAAACTTTGGAGTCATGGAGACATAAATAGAAAAGAAGCAGAGTTGGGCTGGGCACGGTGGCTCATGCCTGTAATTCCACCACTTTGGGAGGCGGGGGGTGGTGGGGTGGATCACTTGAGGTAAGGAGTTCAAGACCAGCATGGCCAACATGGAGAAACCCCATCTCTACGAAAAATAAAAAATTAGCGGGGTGTGGTGGCACATGCCTGTAATCCCAGGTACTTGGGAGGATGAGGTAGGAGAATTGCTTGAACCCAGGAGGTGGAGGTTGCGGTGAGCCGAGATTGCACGCACCACTGCACTCCAGCCTGGGCAAGAAGAGCAAAACTCCGTCCCAAAAAAAAAAAAAAAAATTAGCCAGGTGTAGTGGCACATTCTTGTAATCCCAGCTACTTGGGAGGCTGAGGCAGGAGAATCGCTTGAATCTGGGAGGTGGAGGTTGCAGTGAGATGAGATCACACCATTGCACTCCAGCCTGGATAACAAGAGTGGAAACTTCGTCGCAAACAAAAAAAGAAAGAAAGAAAGAAAAGAAGCAGAGTTGGACTCAGCGGGAAAATAGGCGTGCTACCACCTCAGGAGAGTTCCAGGGAAGAACCCCACCCCCACTCCAACCATGTCACAATGGCTGGAGCTCTGAGGGGCCCAGGCTCCCTGAGCCAGGAGGAGAGGAGAAAGTCCAAGGAAAGATGGTGAGTGTGGGGGCCAGGGGCCTAGTACTCCCTCCCTATAGCTCCTGGTTGCTCCATTTCCCCTCCTTTCCTAAAACTTAGCTGTCTCAGAGATACCCACAAATAGAATTCATAATGGTGTACCCAGATGTCTCTGGAACCTGTGGCATCATACAGATGCATAGCATCTGAGGCTTCCTCCCCTTCCTCAATCCGAGAGAGCATCCTGGGTCCTTTTTCTCCTCCCAGGAACAACTTACCCAGGGAAACGATGCTCCAGGACTGCTCACTCCTTGCTTCCTGCTCCAGGCCCACATTATAACATCTCACTCATCTTTTAGGCCCTTTCTAGCTCCGAAGAGTTCCTCAGCAAGATAGCCCAACACTGTACAGTCCCACAGGGTCCCAGACCCCATCCTGGCATCTGCCCTGCCCCAGGTCGCCTGGGCTGCGGCTGCTGTCTACCCTGAGCTCCTTTCTCCCTAACAGGCTGGCAGTCACCCCTACTTGAACCCGCCTGACTCCACACACCCATCGCCGCCCTCCGCTCCACCCAGCCTCCGCTGGCACCAGTGCTGCCAGCCCTCTGATGCCACCAATGGCCTGCTGGTGGCCCTGCTGGGTGGGGGCCTGCCTGCTGGCTTCGTGGGCCCCCTTTCTCATATGGCTTACCAGGCTTCCAACCTGCCCTCGCTGGAGCTGCTCATCTGTCGATGCCTCTTCCACCTCCCTATTGCCCTGCTACTTAAACTGCGTGGCGACCCCCTTCTGGGACCTCCTGACATCCGAGGCCGGGCCTACTTCTATGCCCTGCTCAACGTCCTCAGCATTGGATGTGCCTACAGTGCGGTTCAGGTGGTGCCCGCTGGCAACGCTGCCACTGTTCGCAAAGGTTCTTCCACCGTCTGCTCCGCCGTCCTCACCCTCTGCCTTGAGAGCCAGGGTCTCAGTGGCTACGACTGGTGTGGACTGTTGGGCAGCATCCTAGGACTAATCATCATTGTGGGACCTGGACTCTGGACACTACAGGAGGGGATCACGGGTGTCTACACCGCCCTGGGCTATGGGCAGGCTTTCGTGGGAGGACTGGCGCTGTCCCTGGGGCTTCTGGTCTATCGTTCTCTGCACTTTCCCTCCTGCCTCCCAACAGTGGCCTTCCTATCTGGCTTGGTGGGGCTGCTGGGCTCTGTGCCAGGCCTCTTTGTGCTGCAGCCCCCCGTGTTGCCCAGTGATCTCCCGAGTTGGAGTTGTGTGGGGGCAGTGGGGATCCTCGCCTTGGTCTCCTTCACATGTGTGAGCTATGCGGTCACCAAGGCCCACCCTGCCCTGGTGTGCGCTGTCCTGCATTCCGAGGTGGTGGTGGCCCTTATACTGCAGTATTATATGCTCCATGAGACTGTGGCACCTTCTGACATCGTGGGGGCAGGGGTTGTGCTGGGCAGCATTGCCATCATCACAGCCTGGAACCTCAGCTGTGAGAGGGAAGGGAAGGTGGAGGAGTGAGATAGAACTTGGGAGCCCGGGGGTTGGGAGGGACAGGGATAAATAGAGGCAAAGACTGAAGACAAACATGGGAGGAGAAGTGACTGGAAAAGAACTGGTGTGGGAGAGGGATACCTCTCAGAGTCAAGGGTGACTTGGGGACTTGGTGGAGAGGGACTACCTGGAAGACCTGGGGCCAGCCTGGGACCAAGGGATGTGGAGACCAGGCTGGGTCCTGGAATCAGGGCATAACTAAGGGGTAAAGTCTGAGGAGCAGATCCAAACGGCTGAGGCAGGGAGGCCGTGGGCCACGGGGAGGACTTCACTCAGCAGCAAAGAGAAGAGCATTGGGGCTGGAGTGTTCCGGCAAAGACAGAGCCAGCAGCTGCGGTGGGGGAGGGGAGCGTGCCTCCCCACCCCTCCCCTCACGGCAAAGGTTTCCTTTCCTCGTGCTTGTGCCCCCCCCTTGGGGTGGTGACGTGACATTGACATCAAACAAGGATTACTCTGAATGTGGCTTGCAGTGGTGTCGTCTCTGCTTTGGAGGGAGAGTGGAAAGTCCTACGACCGTTCTCATTGGAGAACCCCTTGGGATCCCCGCCCCCCATTTTATTCCTGAAATATTCTACAAAGTGGAGGATTTCCTAATGTTCAGATGCCTTGACCCCAAATCCCCCAGGACTTTCGTGGCCCGCCCCATGGCTAATCTGCTTTTCTCGGATTGTCGCGGTCCCGTGATCTCTCCCGGACAGTGGCCACCCTCCTTCCAGAGCAGGCCTCCCAGCTGAAGTCTCTTCGAGAGGCTCAGGCCATGGATCTAGGATCATGGCTCGGTACAGCGCGGCATTACAGGCCAGGAGATGCCCACCCGTCTCCGGGGGCCGTTTGACAAACATCGGCTACTTCCGGACAAGCCACTGGTCCTGCCATCTTGGTTTGTTCATGCATATTCAGCAAGAGAACTGCATATTCATGAGCAACCGCCCTTCCCCGGGAGGACCCGCCCCGCCCCGCCGCCATTACCGATTCGCAGAGCAGACCATTTTCCAGCTGGGGGGGGCTACGAATGAGAGGCTTTTGCTGAAGATGAAACCGTTGTCCAAACTAGAATGAAAGCGGCCCAATTTTACCCTCGAGTCTTCAAACCTTAAGCCTCAGTGCAAAAGGGAGCAGCGAGGAGAGGCGGTGGGATTAAAGAAAAAAATTCTTCTCTCCCTGTCACTTCAAAAGGTCGCCCAACCAGCGAGCGGGGGGTTTACCCACGACTCTGGCTCGCACCCCTTGCGGGCCTGCGCAGGCGGCCCCGTAGCGCAAGGGAGGGCGGGAAAGGAAGGGGCGGGGACGCGAGGGCGAATCTATAAGAAGCGTCGTTCAGCGAGTTCGCTGCTCAGAAGCGCCGAGAGCGCGGCCGGGACGGTTGGAGAAGAAGGCGGCTCCCGGAAGGGGGAGAGACAAACTGCCGTAACCTCTGCCGTTCAGGAACCCGGTTACTTATTTATTCGTTACCCTTTTTCTTCTTCCTCCCCCAAAAACCTTTTCCTTTTCCCTTCTTTTTTTTTCCTTTTTGGGAGCTGAAAAATTTCCGGTAAGGGAAAGAAGGGCTCCTTTCGCTCCTTATTTCCCCGCCTCCTTCCCTCCCCCACCTTCCCCTCCTCCGGCTTTTTCCTCCCAACTCGGGGAGGTCCTTCCCGGTGGCCGCCCTGACGAGGTCTGAGCACCTAGGCGGAGGCGGCGCAGGCTTTTTGTAGTGAGGTTTGCGCCTGCGCAGCGCGCCTGCCTCCGCCATGCACGGGGGTGGCCCCCCCTCGGGGGACAGCGCATGCCCGCTGCGCACCATCAAGAGAGTCCAGTTCGGAGTCCTGAGTCCGGATGAACTGGTAAGCGGCTCTGTCCTCCCCTTCCCCCCTCCTCCCCTGGCGGGCGGGGCCGGACGGGGGCTGCGGAAACTTGGCGCTTTCTCGCTGCTTATGGGTGACGGGCCAGGAGCATGGCTCAGCAGCGCCAAGGCCGTGTAGGCGCCAGTCTCGGGCCTCCCAGAGTTATATTTTGCAAAGAGTTGAGCAGGCGTAGCGCTTTGTCCGAGATGGGGGGCTGGCTGGAGGGTGAGAAGGAGGGAGAGAAGGATGACTGATTTCACACTCCAGAGTTACCGACGTTAAAGGCGATCCGACGAATCCTAGGGAGTCTTTACAAGTTTGGTTAAGAAGCCAAACCCGGGTAGCTTCCTCCTCTTCTGTAATACAAATGTTAACTGAGCACCTGCTCTGTTGAAGACACAGGAGACTCGGGTTACAGAGGTGAACACGACAGACCAGGACCCTACCTTCAAGAGCACTGTCTGTGGGAAAGGGCAAGCAGTAAACATGAATACAATGAATGAATGAGATAATTCAGTTAATGGCATTTGTCTCGAATAGAGTGAAAAGGGGTAATCCCATGGAGAGTCACTGAGCTGGGGCTACTTTATTTTTTTATTTTTATTTTATTTTATTTTTTGAGACGGAGTCTTGCTCTGTCGCCCAGGCTGGAGTGCAATGGCACGATCTCGGCTCACTGCAATCTCCGCCTCCCGGGTTCAAGCGATTCTCCTGCCTTAGCCTCCTGAGTAGCTGGGATTACAGGCATGCGCCACCATGCCCCGCTAATTTTTGTATTTTTAGTAGAGGAGGGGTTTTGCCATGTTGGCCAGGCTGGTCTCGAACGCCTGCCCTGAGGTGATTCTCCCCCGTCTTTTTTTTTTTTTTTTTTTTTTTGAGACGGAGTTTCGCTCTTATTCCCCAGGCCAGAGTGCAATGGCTGAACTCCTGACTTCAGGTGATCCACCCGCCTCGGCCTCTCAAAGTGCTGGGATTACAGGCGTGAGCTACCGCGCCCGTCGAGGTGGGGCTACTTTAGATGGGATGGCGTCAGGGTCTGGGAAGGCCTATCTTAGAAGACATTACCCAAATGATGAGAGGCAGCCAGTCGTCGAAGCCATAGTTTGGATGGCGAGAGCTTTTCCGGCAGAGGAAATAGCAAGTGCAAAGGGCCTGAGGGAGAAATGAACTTGGGCTTGTCCTACAGGGTGAAAGGCGGCCGGTGTGGCTGAGGTTTAGTGGATGAGAGAAGAGTGTTACAGAAATAGGCTGGAGAAGCATGGGATATTGTATATTATGGTAAGGAGTCAGGACTTAATTCCATTTTCAGTAGGTAGTCGTTGACAATTATAAACAGAGTGACAGCACATTTGAAAAAACTACTGCTGTAGTTGCTCTATGAAGAACTGATGCGAGAGGAGGAGAGACCAGAGAGAGGAGGGCAGCCCTAGGGGAGAGCTATTGGTGACTTGGACTTTTTCCCTTGTGGCGCTAAGTAGAGGAGCCCACTGGCTGGAAAGAATGGAGTTAAGTGGCTGTTTGTGGATAGAGACCATTTTTGCTGGGAGAAAGTTCAGCTATGTCAGGAGTCAGAACGTCCTGACCTCACACCATACCACAGAATCAGTTCCAGATGAAGTTAAGACTTAAACCTAAAAAAACCCATAAAGCACTAGAAAAAAAATAGAAGGCTTTTGCAGGGCTGATACCAGAGACAGAAGTCCTTAATAGTAGTGAATTAATTATAGGCAAATTTTATGGAGTGCCTAAAATGAGCTAAACGTTATATATAAGGAAGACCAAGGCAGATTTCACTACATAAAAATAAGAGCCACTTCTGTTTATAGAGGCACTGTGGCAAAGCTGAAAAACAGATCAGGAAACAGTATTTGCAATTACGCAGACAAGGTTAAATTTATTGATGTACAAGGAACACAAATCAGTAAGGAAAGTACCTATCTACTAGAAAAATGGGTAAAGGAGATGAATAGGCAGTTCACAGAAATAGTGCAAATGGCCAACAAAGAGTAGACTTTCTAATAAAAAAAATCCAGATTAAAATAAAATTTTTTCTCATCTGATTTTTTTTCCCTGCTGGCAAAAATACTGGGAAATAGACGTGCTTATACATTGTTGGTAGAAAGATAGATTGGTATAACCTTTTTGGAGGATGGTCTGACAATTTTTTTTTTTTCGAGATGGAATCTCACTCTTGTTGCCCAGACTGGAGTGCAGTGGCACGATCTTGGCACACTGCAACCTCCACCTCTCGGGTTCAAGCGATTCTCCTGCCTTAGCCTCCCAAGTAGCTGGGATTACAGGCGTGTGCCACGATGCCTGGCTATTTTTGTATTTTAGTAGAGATGGGGTTTTGCCGTGTTGCCCAGGCTGGTCTTGAACTCCTGACCTCAGAGGACCCGCCCGCCTTGGCCTCCCAAAGTGCTGGGATTACAGGCATGAGCCACCATGCCCGGCCTCTGGTCTAACAATTTTATCAACCTTTTAATATGTAAATCATTTGATCAAGCATTACCACTTATAAAAATTCATCCTTAGGTTAAAAAAGCTTAATTATCCCCTCAATGATGCCCCTTTCCCAGTCTTGCATGGTTCATTAAATAGTTTCTCCATTCATCCATTTGCTCAGGCCAAAAATCTAAAAGCCATCTTTGATTCTCTTTCTCACAATCTCCACTTAGTCCATCTGCCAGAGTGTCAGTCCTACCTTTCAAAATATGCCTGGAATCCAGCCATTTATGACCATCTCCACCACCATGTCCCACCATATCCCACCCTACTGTCATCTTTCCTGTGGGGTGCTATAGAGCCCTAATTGGTCTTCCTACAGTTTGTAAGAACAGCTAGAACAGGCTAGAGAGATCTCTTCATCCCTTCCCTTCATAGAATCCTTTCCAGAGGTTTCAGGACTCCTTACTCTGACCTATAAAGTGCTGTTTTATCTGGCTCCTGCTTGCTTCTCCATCTCATTACTAGTCTCCTCTTTGCTTTTCTTGAACCACGCTGACTGCTTGCTCCTCTAACACTGCAAGCTTATTCCCACCTCAAGGACTTTATTATTCACTATTCCTCCTGCTTGGAACAACGTTGCTCAGACCTCTGCTCTGCATGCCTGTTCCTTTATGTCTGTATGTTCTGTGTTGAAATGGCATATCTTTTTTTTTTTTTGGACACGGGGTATCCCTCTGTCCCCCAGGCTGGAGTGCAGTGGCTCGATCCCAGCTCACTGCAGCCTCTTGGGCTCAAAAGATGCTCCCTGGCCAGGCTCAATCACGTCTGTAATCCCAGCACTTTGGGAGGCCAAGGTGGGCAGATAACGAGGTCAGGAGTTTGAGACCAGCCTGGCCAAAATAGTGAAACTCTGTCTTTACTAAAAATACAAAAATTAGCTAGGTGTGGTGGCACGCCTCTGTAGTCCCAGCTACTAGGGAAGCTGAGGTAGGAGAATCAGTTTAACCTGGGAGGTCGAGGTTGCATTGAGCTGATACTGTGCCATTGCACTCCAGCCTGCGTGACGGAGTGAGACTGTCTCAAAAAAAAAAAAAAAAAGGCCAGGCGCGGTGGCTCACACCTGTAGTCCCAGCACTTTGGGAGGCTGAGGCGGGCGGATCACGAGGTCAGGAGATCGAGACCGTCCTGGCTAACACGGTGAAACCCCGTCTCCCCTAAAAATACAAAAAATTAGCAGGGCGTGGTGGCAGGTGCCTGTAGTCCCAGCTACCTGGGAGGCTGAGGCCGGAGAATGGCGTGAACCCGGGAGGTGGAGCTTGCAGTGAGCCGAGATTGCGCTCCTGCATTCCAGCCTGGGCAACAGAGCGAGACTCCGTCTCAAAAAAAAAAAAAAAATGCTCCCACCTCAGACAGACCCCCAACCCCCACCTCAGTAGCTGGGACAACAGGCTCATACCACCATGCCTAATTTTTAAATTTGTTGTAGAGATGGGTTCTCACTATGTTACCTAGGCTGGTGAACTGGGCTCAAGCGATCCCCCTCCTCTGCCTCCCAAAGTGCTGGGATTCCAGGCATGAGCCACTGCGCCTGGCCGATGTCATATCTTTAGGAGCGCTTCCCTGACCACTCTGTTTAAATAGCATCCCCCGCCCTTCCCTTGTTTTCTCTGATCATTCTCTGCTATATTTTCCTTCACAGCCTGTCACTCCAGAAAGGATTAGTTTTTCTGTTTCTTGCTTCCTTGCTAGAGAATGAATTTCATGAGGGACTTTGTCTGTGTTATTCATGTTCCCTTAGTATCTCAGGTAGTGCCTGGCACATGATAGACATGTAATAAAAATTAGTTGAATAAACAAGTGAATGAAATAATTGGGCAAATATGCATAGATAATGTAGAAGGACTTTTATTGCAACATTGTTTGAAAGTGACAATTATAAATTACTCGGTATTTACTAATAGGAATCCTGTTGAATAACTTAGGGTGTATTCTTACAATGTAATAGAGGAACTTCCCAATAAGGTCCCACACTGTGCTGATGCCCTGAGACACTGTGGCACACGGTGGGCACAGTGAGGTATTTTAAATTTCCAAGAGAAACACAGGTACATTTGTCAGATACCCTGGAACTCCTAGTTCCTGGTAGTTCTGTTTCAACATTAGATGGTGCCAAATCCCTTTCTATAATGTCATATTTTTGTGAAACTGGGTTTTTAGCAGTTGCTAAGTACAGGCAAAAATCAGTTTGTAGAAGAAATAAAGGTGGTGCTGTTTAGTCTGATTCCAAGGTTTGAGAGGTGCAGTGCCTAACAGGCGCCATAAGTGAGTGAGATGGTTATTTGGTAAAGAAATAAAAATGTTATTTTGTTTTAATATATTAATAGTATTTTCAACTTGTGTGTATTTTCTCAAATGGCTAGTAAGTTCCTAGGACATAAATGCTTAAGTTGTTTGGGTCTAGGTGCTTAATAAATTGCTGTCTTTTCTTGGAAAGATGGAGTCTTGCTCTGTTGCCTAGGCTGGAATGCAGAGGTGAGATCTCAGCTCACTGTAACCTCTGCCTCCTGGGTTCAAGCTACTCTCCTCCCTCAGCCTCTCAAGCAGCTGGGATCACAGGCATCCGCCACCATGCCCGGCAATTTTTGTATTTTTGGTAGAGACAGGGTTTCACCACATTGGCCAGACCGGTCTCAAACTTCTGACCTCAAGTGATCTGCCCACCTTGGCCTCCCCAAGTGCTGGGATTGCAGGTGTGAGCCACCGCGCTCGGCTGTGGCTCTCTTTTGACCTAGTAAGTGCTGTGAGAGTTACTGAAATGGTAAGGGCACTGTGGGCTGTTGATAATGTTAGGGAATCTATGGATAAATGAAAAAGTTACTCAGAAGTATGCAGAGTGAAGGCCTTATGTTAAAGTGGGAACGTATTTACGGTTTTTTTAAAGCATGAAAAAAAATGCATGCCGTGGCTCATGCCTGTAATCCCAGCACTTTCGGAGCCTGAGGCAGGAGGATCATTTGAGGCCAGGAGTTCAGGACCAGCCTGGGCAACACAGCAAGACCCTATCTCAATTTAAAAATAATAATAACAAATGGGCTGAGCACGGTGGCTCACTCCTGTAATCCCAGCACTTCGGGAGGCCAAGGTGGGCAAATCCCCGAGGGTCAAGAGTTCAAGACCATCCTGTCCAGCCTAGTGAAACCCCGTCTGTACTAAAAATATAAAAAGCAGCTGGGTGTAGTCGTGGGTGCCTGTAATCCCAGCTACTTGGGAGGCTGAGGCATATGAACCACTTGAACCTGGTAGGCGGAGGTTGTACTGACCCAAGATGGAATAATAACAAATAAAAGTATGGGACACTGTTGACAAAGCTCTACCAGAGTCATCTCTGGGGTGTAGGATTGTTGGGCTTCGATAGTGCTCTGCATGTCTTGCAGTTTATACGATGTCTGTATTTTGAGGGACCAACAGACGGTTCAATTTTGGGTAGAAGGATGGGTGAGGGTGAGTAAGGTGCCTCTTGTTGTGAAACAGGTGGTATTTTAGGCTAAAATGTTTTACAGAAGTCTTAGGGGTCAGAGTGTATGGAGGTACGGAGGGGTCTTTGAATTGGCTTTGAGATAGAGCTGTTGTCCTTGCTGTTAGAAGATGGATTTAGATGTTGCTAGGTGAGGGGAAGGTTACAAGGCGGGTTGGTACTAGAGCTTTGTACCAGCGTGTGCACAAAATTTTGGGGAAAGAGGGTGCTGGATTTCCTTCGCAGTAGTTGACCCCTATTCATTAAAAACAACTGTCTATCATGGAATGCATAACTTATTTATACCCTGACTTATTTAAATAAGGATTTAAAGCAGTAATCTGTTCTTTTTTTTTTTGATACGGACTCCAGCTCTGTTGCCCAGGCTGGAGTATAGTGGCACAGTCTGTGCTCACTGCAACCTCTGCCTCCTGGATTCAAGCGATTCTTCTGCCTCAGCCTCCCGAGTAGCAGGAACTACAGGAGCACGCCACCACACCCAGCTAATTTCTTTTTTGTATTTTTAGTAGAGACGGGATTTTACTGTGTTGTCCAGACTGGTCTCGAACTCCTGACCTTGTGATCCACCCACCTTGGCCTCGCAAAGTGCTGGGATTACAGGCATGAGCCACCGCACCTGGCCTAGTTTTTGTATTTTTATTAGAGACAGGGTTTTACCATGTTGGCCAGGCTGGTCTCGAACTCCTGACCTCAGGTGATCTGCCTGCATTGGCGTCCCAAAGTGCTGGGATTACAGGCTTGAGCCACTGCGCCTGGTCAATAATGTATTCTTTTAGGTAGAGTGTGGGCTACATTGATGAGTGAGAAGATGATCCTTGTTTTCAAGTTACCTATAATCTTGTGAGGGATTTCCTATGTATGCAGCAAATAGTTACTGAGCCTCAACCATATGTTGGTTACTGTGCTAGGTGCTGAGGATATGAAGAGAAAACATGACCCTTGCCCTCAAGGATTACAGTCCAATGAGAGAGACAGATGTGTCACCAAGTAATTAAAATTGGGCTGAGAACCTTGCTGGGGTGTGCATAAGACTAGGAAGAGTTAGAGAAGACTTCATAAGGAGGTGACCTCTGAACTGGGTCTTAAAGAATAAATAGAAGTTTACTCCCAAGGGGGTGTGTGAAGCAAAAGGAGATTTGAGAAATCTATTGTATTTAGAACATAAATGTGGGAGGCGGGTAGGAGAATGTGGTACCAAATAAAGCTGTAAAAGCAACTTGAAGCCAAATTGTAATAAGGACCTTGTTAGCTTTGCTAAAGCAGAGGAAAGAGGACGAGTATTTACTGAGATTCAATGACAGCCCTTTTGTTATTGTGGCCTCAGGGGCAGAACCCAAAGAGAACCCAGCCTGACTGGCCACCCCCTCAAGTGTTTAACCTTTATCCTGTAGGCAGTGAGAACCATTGTTGGCCGAAGGGTTGGGGGCTAATTTAAAATGACAGTTTGAGGCCTGGTGCGGTGGCTCACGACTGTAATCCCAACACTTTGGGAGGCTAAGGTGAGTGGATCACTTGAGGCCAGGAGTTTGAGACCATCCTGGCCAACATGGTGAAACCCTGTCTCTACTAAAAATACAAAAATTAGCCAAGTGTGGTGAGCACCTGTAATTCCAGCTACTTGGGAGGCTGAGGCACAAGAATCACTTGAACCTGAGAGGCAGAGGTGGCAGTGAGCCGAGATTGTACCACTGCACTCCAGCCGGGGTGACAGCAAGACCCTGTCTCAAAAAAAAAAAGTAAAATAAAATAAAAAATGAGAGTTCGTGAACTTGGTGATGGAGGGATAGCTCTTCTCATTAACAAGGATATGCGTGTCTGCTGTCTAGGACACCCCCTGACCCGGTCTCAGAAAGCCTGAAAGCAGAATTAGTCATTAGAAGGGTGGTTGGCTTGGTCGGCATAGACTTTGAGCAGAAAGAGGTTGAAAATGTTGAGCCTGATTTCTCTTAGGCCCCTCTGCAGTGTCTGTTGTGGAGGCCAGATACGTAACTGCTTCCGCTTTTTTTGGTCTCATTCAAGGTGAGCAAATCCCCTTCATGTTTCTCACCAGACAATGCAGCTGATGAGGTTCCAGCTTTGCAAATGTAGTCATCCATGAGGACTGTCTTCCTGAGATTTCATCAGGTCATGTTGATGAGAGTTTTGAACCTGTCTGAGGCTGAGAGGTGTGCAGAACTTCTTCAGCTTTGCATCTGTAGACCATTTTGGTTTCTACCCAGCAGTGGCCAATCAGACCTATTATGAGGGGATTACTGGTTTGACTGTCAGAGGGTAACCTCTCTTTTTCCAAGTTTTTTGAGGGTACCTCCCTCCAGTGGAGAGTCCTAAGCAGTAGGTCAATTTAACAGACATTTGTTAGGAGCCCACCATGTTTCAGGCAGGCACATGGGATTCAGGATGGTTGAGGCATTCTGCCTGCCTGAGAGGTGCTTATAGTTATAGGGAAGACAGACCCCCATAGGTCATTTTATTGCATTGTTGTATGTGCAGTGATAGAGGGCTGTGGAAGCACAGAGGAGGGGTGCCTGTCTACTTTGGGCAGGCTGTGGAAAGGCTTCCTGGAGGAAGCAGTGCCTGAGCCGAGTCTTGAAATAGGAGTTTTGCAGTGGGAAGAGCATTCCAAGCAGAGAGGCACTAGCATATAGAAAACCCCGGAGGAACGCAGCACGTGTTGCGCTGGATGTGATAGGCGACTCCAGGGAATTGTTACTGAGGAGTGAACAGGAAGGTGTGGAGCATCAGGGAAATGAAGGTTGAGAACATCATAAAATCCTTTTGGGAAGCTGTCCTGCTGAGTTTGGATGTCAGTCTGAGGACAAGAGGGTATGAATGATTACATTTTTAGTTTATTATTAATTTTTATTTTATTTATTTTTAGCACACATTTTTATTTTAGAATGAGCACCCCAGTTGTAATGTAGAAGGATTGGAGAGAGACAGGCTGGTGACCCATAGGAACGCTCTGTTGTAGACTACAAAGGAAGGGCCTGAACTAGGGCAATGGTGGTGGGGATGGAGAAGAGAGGCAAGATTCAAGAAACACTTAGGAGGCCAGGCGTGGTGGCTTATGTGTGTAAACCCAGCTGAGATTCCCGCCACTGCACTCCAGCCTGGGTGACAGAGCAAGACTTCTTAAAAAAAAAAGGGAGGTAAAAGTGACCAGTACCTGGTGAATGACTGAATAATAATAATGTCCATTCATAAAGCGCCAATTACATCCTGGACTTAAGCAAGCTAATTAAGTCCTTAATGGTTACATAGTTCATAAGTAATATAGGCAGAATTCCAAAGCAAGGGTGCCCGACAGCTAAGTCCATGTTCTTTGGACTGTTTTGTGCTTGAAGGTAAGGAAAGGTAAGCATAGGTTTCTGAATCTGGGATAGAGACTAAAGGAAAAAGAGAAGCTTTTGTGGAAAAGAGAGTTTGCTTTTAAACATGTTTAATTTGATTTTTTGGTGTGATGTTTGCAGGGGGTTCAGTAGGTAGTCACATACGTGAACCCAAAGTCCAGAAGAAAAGTAAGGCCTGGAATTAGAGAGTTGAGAATGAGTATCCAAGCATACCTTGGAGATACTGTGAGTTTGGTTCCAGCCCACCGCAATAAAGCAAGTCACATGGAGTTTTTTGGTTGCCATTGTGCATGTTACATTAGTACTATGCTGTAGTCTACTAAGTCTAAGTGTACAATAGCATTACAATTTTTTTTTTTTTTTGAGACGGAGTCTTGCTCTGTCATTCAGGCTGAAGTGCAGTGGTGCGATCTCAGCTCACTGCAACCTCCGCCTCCTGGGTTCAAGTGATTCTCCTGCCTCAGCCTCCCGAGTAGCTGGGATTACAGGTACCCATCACCACACCCAGCTAATTTTTTTGTATTTTTAGTAGAGATGGGGTTTCACTATGTTGGCCAGGCTGGTCTCAAACTCCTGACCTCAGGTGATCCACCCGTCTCAGCCTCCCAAAGTGCAGGGATTACGGGTGTGAGCCACCGCACCCGGCCCATCTACTTCTGAGTTCTTCTGTTTCCTCCTTTCCTTCATTGAAATGTCCCCATCAAGTCCTGGCTCTTCCTTTCTTGGGATTCCAGCTATTCACTTTTGCTTCAAATCATTTCCACCAACCTGTTTTTCTAGCACCTGTTTCTCCAGTCTTTTAATAAAATCTCTGGCCTGGCGCGGTGGCTCACGCCTGTAATCCCAGTACTTTGGGAGGCCGAGGCGGGTGGACCATGAGGTCAAGAGACCATCCTGGCCAACCTGGTGAAACCCTGTCTCTACTAAAAATACAAAAATTAGCTCGATGTGGTGGCGCTCACCTGTAGTCCCAGCTACTTGGGAGGCTGAGGCAGGAGAATCACTTGAACCCGGGAGGCAGAGGTTGCAGTGAGCTGCGATTGCGCCACTGCACTCCAGCCTGGCGACAGAGCGAGACTCCATCTCAAAACAAAACAAAACCAATAATAAAATCTCCATCTGGACACGAAAGGGTTCAAGCAGTTCAGGCCTTGAGAAGGAGGGCATGACAAAGATGAGGGAAAAGAAACAGGGCTGCATCTCTGAGTGCCTCGTTTCTTATCAGGGGCTTGAGTTGGCGGGGCATGTCTTGGTGCAGAACACCTGGGCTGTCATGGCGAGGGTACAGGTACAGAGAGGCTTCTGCCAGGATCTCAGATTCATGAGCTTGATTTCTGCTTGGGAGGAACAAATAAAGCATTGTTTTGTTTTTTTGTTTTTCCTGAAGCAACTTTGATTTCTTTTTGTGGCTAAATCCTATGGATGTCAGAGACCTAGAATTCAACCCAGATGGAAGTCTGGGGTTCATGTCCCAGTAGCAGGTGATTTGTATGGAACCCAGGATCGACCATTATCTAGTGTGAGTGCTTTTCCTGCCTCAGTGACTGGAATAAGCCTCTGACTTGGGATATTCAACTTTGGCCTTTTCAGAAGTGTACACACACCAATCCCCCATTCCCCTCACTCCAGGCTAAACTTAGTTCTTCTGTAAGTAGTTCAGGGTTTTCCCAGACCTTAGTCCAGAGCTCCCCAGCCACAAAGGCTAGAAACTAGGAACGCTGTTCAGTTGTTGGCCTTTCTTTCTTTGCAGAAGCGAATGTCTGTGACGGAGGGTGGCATCAAATACCCAGAGACGACTGAGGGAGGCCGCCCCAAGCTTGGGGGGCTGATGGACCCGAGGCAGGGGGTGATTGAGCGGACTGGCCGCTGCCAAACATGTGCAGGTAAGTGCTGGGGGGCCAGGTGGGATCCCAAAGGGGAGGTGGGTTGGGTCCTCAAAACTAGGGCTGACGGTTGACACCTGGAGGCCTCTGAGATGAGTGGGAGCTGGGAGGAAAGCACTGGGTGTGTGTCCCACAGGAAACATGACAGAGTGTCCTGGCCACTTTGGCCACATTGAACTGGCCAAGCCTGTGTTTCACGTGGGCTTCCTGGTGAAGACAATGAAAGTTTTGCGCTGTGTCTGCTTCTTCTGCTCCAAACTGCTTGTGGACTCTGTGAGTGGGGAACAGGCTCTGGTCTGGGAGCGGGGGTGCTTGGTAGGGGGCAGGGGGACAGCTTCAACTGACCCTGCTCTGCCCTGTCCCCAGAACAACCCAAAGATCAAGGATATCCTGGCTAAGTCCAAGGGACAGCCCAAGAAGCGGCTCACACATGTCTACGACCTTTGCAAGGGCAAAAACATATGCGAGGGTGGGGAGGAGATGGACAACAAGTTCGGTGTGGAACAACCTGAGGGTGACGAGGATCTGACCAAAGAAAAGGTGGCTGGGGCTGGCGGAGACTTTTGGGAAGGAGGGGTCAGAGGCCTGGAGGGAGGAAACTGGAAGGGAAGGAAACAGGAGGGGCTGGCCTGGTGTGGAGGGAAATGGCCCACCCTCTGGGCTCTGATGGCCCCTGTCTCTCCTTGGAAGGGCCATGGTGGCTGTGGGCGGTACCAGCCCAGGATCCGGCGTTCTGGCCTAGAGCTGTATGCGGAATGGAAGCACGTTAATGAGGACTCTCAGGAGAAGAAGATCCTGCTGAGTCCAGAGCGAGTGCATGAGATCTTCAAACGCATCTCAGATGAGGAGTGTTTTGTGCTGGGCATGGAGCCCCGCTATGCACGGCCAGAGTGGATGATTGTCACAGTGCTGCCTGTGCCCCCGCTCTCCGTGCGGCCTGCTGTTGTGATGCAGGGCTCTGCCCGTAACCAGGTCAGTGGCTCCAGGGCTCTGCCTCTTAGCTGGAGGGCGAGGTGTCTAAAGGGAGGAAGACCTGTAGGTGGGGATGGGTGGATGGACCTGGGTTTGAAAATTCCCCTGCTACTTACTAGCTGTATGATCTTTAATGAGTCCTTTCACATGGTTAAAGGCCACAAACGTGTTTCTGAATCTATAAATGATAGTGGGCAGTCCTGCCTCCTGGGGTGGTGTGAGGATGAGAGCTGTGCTGTGTGCCTGGTACGTTCCTGCCGAGCGCTGGCAGTGGTGGCTGGACCATGATGATTCTGACTTCCTGCCTCAGGATGACCTGACTCACAAACTGGCTGACATCGTGAAGATCAACAATCAGCTGCGGCGCAATGAGCAGAACGGCGCAGCGGCCCATGTCATTGCAGAGGATGTGAAGCTCCTCCAGTTCCATGTGGCCACCATGGTGGACAATGAGCTGCCTGGCTTGCCCCGTGTGAGTCAGCATGCTCCCCACCCCTCTGTGTATTGGAGCCAGGGTGGGGGCTAGCATGAGGCTTCAGAGCTCTGGAAGAGGGCCCAGTGCTGACTTTCTGGATTGCCCCCACCCTGTGTTTTTTCCTCACAGGCCATGCAGAAGTCTGGGCGTCCCCTCAAGTCCCTGAAGCAGCGGTTGAAGGGCAAGGAAGGCCGGGTGCGAGGGAACCTGATGGGCAAAAGAGTGGACTTCTCGGCCCGTACTGTCATCACCCCCGACCCCAACCTCTCCATTGACCAGGTTGGCGTGCCCCGCTCCATTGCTGCCAACATGACCTTTGCGGAGATTGTCACCCCCTTCAACATTGACAGGTGTGCCTCCGTTGGAAAGCCCTTCCTGGAATGGCTAGGGAAGACATGGCCTCAGTGGCAAGGCTTCGAGAGTCTGCTCCTCCTACCTCGGGCGTGGGCTTGGAGCAAGGAGGAATTGAAGTTCTGAAGTTTAACTTCCACTCAGGGAGGGTGGCTGCAGGGGTATTTTAGGAAGCATTGAGTTCATTGCACCTCTTTCCTTCCTAGACTTCAAGAACTAGTGCGCAGGGGGAACAGCCAGTACCCAGGCGCCAAGTACATCATCCGAGACAATGGTGATCGCATTGACTTGCGTTTCCACCCCAAGCCCAGTGACCTTCACCTGCAGACCGGCTATAAGGCACGTAGCAGGCCAGGGCCTCTCTCAGCCACCTGAGCAGAAAGCTTTCCAAGATAGGGCAGGCTGGGTTAGGCCATCTGAGTCTGTCTCGTTCATTGGGATCCAGACTTGACTGTCTTGTTAAAGGCTGTTGCTGCCCAGGTGTGCAGGGAGCTGTTGGTCTCTGGCATTCAGGGTGGGGGTGGTATAAACCCGGGGCAGCTTGCATATGGCAGGGAAGAGGGATCCGTGGAGGAACAGTGCAGAAGGCTTTATGTTCAGAATCTCTCTTGCTTTTCTTCTAGACTGAGTTCCTTGAGATTGGTGAATGCTGTGTATTATTCATCCCTGATAACCTGGTGTTTGGCCCAGGGCCTTGTCCAGAGGAGTGTTTAATAAGTGTTTCAAGTGAATTAGCACCACGATGTCATCTCTTTTCAGTTTACAAAGGACTTTTTTTTTTTTTTTTTTTTTTTTAAAGAAGACAGTCTCGCTCTATCGCCCAGGCTGGAGTGTAGAATGCAGTGCTGTGATCTTGGCTCACTGCAACCTCTACCTCCCAGGCTCAAGCGATTCTTCTGCCTCAGCCTCCCGAGTAGCTAGGATTACAGGCGCGCGCCACCACACCTAGCTTATTTTTGTATTTTCAGTAGAGATGGGGTTTCACCATGTTGACCAGGCTGGTCTCAAACTCCTGAGCTTAAGTGACGTGCCCGCCTCAGCCTCCCAAAGTGCTTGGATTATAGGTGTGAGCCACTGCACTGGACTTGCAAAGGACTTTAGGTCCATTGTCCTTTTATTCTTAGATACCTCCTTCACTGAGACCTTTTCCTTACCTCACCTCTCTAGGTGGAACGGCACATGTGTGATGGGGACATTGTTATCTTCAACCGGCAGCCAACTCTGCACAAAATGTCCATGATGGGGCATCGGGTCCGCATTCTCCCATGGTCTACCTTTCGCTTGAATCTTAGGTCAGTCCCTGGCTGAGGGAAGCAGGCTGGAATTGGTGGGAGGCGGGCAGGCTGGGTGGCTCCTCAAGGTTTCGCTGCAGACATCTTCCCAACCCTGACTTTTCTCTTTAACTGTAGTGTGACAACTCCGTACAATGCAGACTTTGACGGGGATGAGATGAACTTGCACCTGCCACAGTCTCTGGAGACGCGAGCAGAGATCCAGGAGCTGGCCATGGTTCCTCGCATGATTGTCACCCCCCAGAGCAATCGGCCTGTCATGGGTATTGTGCAGGACACACTCACAGCAGTGCGCAAATTCACCAAGAGAGACGTCTTCCTGGAGCGGGTGTGTGGTCCAAATGGAAACCTGGCTTAAGTGGGCAGTGGGGCTCTGGGGTGCAAGGTGGAGGCTAGAGAGGAAGAGCTGTGTTTTTTTTCCTGACTTACCCAGCAGTGGTCTGTGAGATTGTCTTTTCTGGTGGGCGAACAAAAAGGGGGTTAGGAAAACTCAGGCCAAAAAGGTGTAAGGCGTTAATTCCCCATTTAATTCCTTAAAATTTCATGTAATACCAGGTATTGCCTGTAAAGGAAAGATAAAGGGAAAAATAAGTAAGACCTTGTTCAAATTTTATTTTTCTATTTTAACCTTCACTTATTTCCTAATTATTAAAAGAAATTTATGCTTATTGTTAAGAACAAAAACAAAAATTTCAGTATTACAATGAATTTTTAATTAAAAGTTTTTGGGGCCGGGCGCAGTGGCTCACGCCTGTAATCCCAGCACTTTGGGAGGCCGAGGCGGGTGGATCACGAGGTCAGGAGATCAAGACCATCTTGGCTAACACGGTGAAACCCCATCTCTACTGAAAAATACAAAAAATTAGCCGGGCGTAGTGGCATGAGCCTGTAGTCCCAGCTACTTGGGAGGCTGAGGCAGGAGAATGGCGTGAACTCGGGAGGCAGAGCTTGCAGTGAGCCGAGATCACACCACTGCACTCCAGCCTGGGCGACAGAGCGAGACTCCGTCTCAAAAAAAAAAAAAAAAAAGTTTTTGGGACTGGGCATGGTGACTCACACCTGTAATTCTAGCACTTTGGGAGGCCGAGGCAGGCACATCATTTGAGGCCAGGAGTTGGAGACAACTCTGGCCAACATAGAGAAACCCCGTCTCTACCAAAAATACAAAAATTAGCCGGACATGGTGGCAGGTGCCTGTAATCCCAGCTACTTGAGAGGCTGTGGCAGGAGAATTGCTTGACCCCAGGAGGCGGAGGTTGCAGTGAGCCCTGATTGCACCATTGCACTCCAGCCTGGGTAAACAGCAAGACCCTGTCTCAAAAAATTAAAGGTTGGAAAAAACTTTTCCTGTCATCTTTGCCTCCAAAATCTGGCTTTCTCCCTTGGGCAGGGAAACCTCCCCAACATTTCTCTATCATCCCTGAGATGTGGGGCCTGCACTCTGACTTCTGTCTGCCTTACTCTTTGTCTTACAGGGTGAAGTGATGAACCTCCTGATGTTCCTGTCGACGTGGGATGGGAAGGTCCCACAGCCGGCCATCCTAAAGCCCCGGCCCCTGTGGACAGGCAAGCAAATCTTCTCCCTCATCATACCTGGTCACATCAATTGTATCCGTACCCACAGCACCCATCCCGATGATGAAGACAGTGGCCCTTACAAGCACATCTCTCCTGGGGACACCAAGGTAGGGCTTGGCTTCTGGATATGTGAGGACAGAATTTGGACGTGGGAGCCAGGACCAGAGCAGGGGCCTTGAGTGGGTGCTTTGTCCTTAGGTGGTGGTGGAGAATGGGGAGCTGATCATGGGCATCCTGTGTAAGAAGTCTCTGGGCACGTCAGCTGGCTCCCTGGTCCACATCTCCTACCTAGAGATGGGTCATGACATCACTCGCCTCTTCTACTCCAACATTCAGACTGTCATTAACAACTGGCTCCTCATCGAGGGTGAGCATGGAGGCGTGGTACCAAGACGTCTCTGTGAATTCTCTAACTTCTTACTGTCCTTCCATCCCTTTCTTTCCTCCTTGGATTTGGTGCCCCCTGCTTCTACTCTCTTGGCTATAATTCCATTCCATGTTTCTTAGAGGTCCAAAGGGGTTTGCTGATGTTTTTCCCTGTCTCTAGGTCATACTATTGGCATTGGGGACTCCATTGCTGATTCTAAGACTTACCAGGACATTCAGAACACTATTAAGAAGGCCAAGCAGGACGTAATAGAGGTAAGAGGGGAGGCCACCAGAGACGGAATAAGGGGTTTCCAGGGACTTCGAAGTTAGCATCATCAAGAGCAAAGGGAGTGTAAGGTTAGAGGGAAGGGGCAGAGAGTAGGGATTGATGTCTCACCGAGAACTCTGCCTCCAGGTCATCGAGAAGGCACACAACAATGAGCTGGAGCCCACCCCAGGGAACACTCTGCGGCAGACGTTTGAGAATCAGGTGAACCGCATTCTTAACGATGCCCGAGACAAGACTGGCTCCTCTGCTCAGAAATCCCTGTCTGAATACAATAACTTCAAGTCTATGGTCGTGTCCGGAGCTAAAGGTTCCAAGATTAACATCTCCCAGGTGAGAAGCCTTGTTTTTCCATATACGGGGCCGCTGTGAAGTTTGGGAGGAGGAAGGAAGGTGTTTGTATGTATTAGGGTCAGGAGAATCACGGGAGTTGGGGGAAATTTTGGGAACTGTTATTCTTAAGGCAGAGGGAATTCAGTATACACCACCTTTCTGTTTCCCAGGTCATTGCTGTCGTTGGACAGCAGAACGTCGAGGGCAAGCGGATTCCATTTGGCTTCAAGCACCGGACTCTGCCTCACTTCATCAAGGATGACTACGGGCCTGAGAGCCGTGGCTTTGTGGAGAACTCCTACCTAGCCGGCCTCACACCCACTGAGTTCTTTTTCCACGCCATGGGGGGTCGTGAGGGGCTCATTGACACGGCTGTCAAGACTGCTGAGACTGGTGAGGCTTTCCTCAGGGGTCTTCCTTGGGCTGTTAGCAGGGACTGCTGCAGGCTGAGAAACCCCTAACAGGTGGGGAGCGGAAATGCTCAGGCTCCTATTCCCAGGGTATAATTCTGGCCCTTGTGGAAAGAATAGAGTCTCAAGAGTAGGCAAACACCCTTGTTTGGATTGCTGTGCAGCATTGCACAGTGCAGGGACAGAGCTTCCGGGGCTCTGCCGGCCTGTCCCATGGGAGTGGTTCCTGCTGGGCTTTTTGTCCGTCTAGTGGTAGACACTGAGTTTGCATTCAAAGGCCTCAGACACAGAGAGTACTAGCTGACTCTTCTGACAGTCAGGTAGGTTAAGGCCCCAGCCTGGGTCTTTGGGCTTTATCATCCCCTTACTTCCCTCCAGGATACATCCAGCGGCGGCTGATCAAGTCCATGGAGTCAGTGATGGTGAAGTACGACGCGACTGTGCGGAACTCCATCAACCAGGTGGTGCAGCTGCGCTACGGCGAAGACGGCCTGGCAGGCGAGAGCGTTGAGTTCCAGAACCTGGCTACGCTTAAGCCTTCCAACAAGGCTTTTGAGAAGAAGTGAGGAGGCGGGCAGGCGGGTGGTTCTCGCCCCTGGGGCTCAGGGCCTGAGTAGTAGGATTCCCATACCTATTCCAGAGAGATAGCCTGGTATGTGTCTTGCACTAGAGCTTACCTTTCAGCATCCTTCCCCACCTATCTGAAACAGCTGTGTGACATGGGGGAGGTGGTGGATGGAGGTGGATTTAAGATTGGTCCCCACATCGTCCCTGCTGATATTATAAAGCAGATGCAGAGGGGTGGGCCTGTACTCAGGTCCCAGTGGCAGTCCTTGGGCCTGAATTTTTCTCTGTCCAGGATTCTTGCCTCCAAACCACTGTACTTGGTCGGCTGTGCACCTTTGGGAACCTTACAGTGCGTTTTGTGGGGACCAAGGTCCCAGAGCCCACCTGTCCACTAGCTACCCCTTGCACTTCCAGGTTCCGCTTTGATTATACCAATGAGAGGGCCCTGCGGCGCACTCTGCAGGAGGACCTGGTGAAGGACGTGCTGAGCAACGCACACATCCAGAACGAGTTGGAGCGGGAATTTGAGCGGATGCGGGAGGATCGGGAGGTGCTCAGGGTCATCTTCCCAACTGGAGACAGCAAGGTGCGTGTGGGTCGAAGTGCTGATGCTAGAGATGTGCCTCCCTGGATGGCTGTCCCCAGACACAGCCCTCCCTCCATTTCCCCCTCTCTCAGGTCGTCCTCCCCTGTAACCTGCTGCGGATGATCTGGAATGCTCAGAAAATCTTCCACATCAACCCACGCCTTCCCTCCGACCTGCACCCCATCAAAGTGGTGGAGGGTAAGTACCTGCTTAGGGGTCTCCAAGCCAGGCTAGGGGATAGGAGACTGCTGGGCCCTGGTCTAATGATCTCCTCACCTTTAATTGGTCCCCAGGAGTCAAGGAATTGAGCAAGAAGCTGGTGATTGTGAATGGGGATGACCCACTAAGTCGACAGGCCCAGGAAAATGCCACGCTGCTCTTCAACATCCACCTGCGGTCCACGTTGTGTTCCCGCCGCATGGCAGAGGAGTTTCGGCTCAGTGGGGAGGCCTTCGACTGGCTGCTTGGGGAGATTGAGTCCAAGTTCAACCAAGCCATTGTGAGTGTTGTGCTCTTCACAGCAGTCTTCTTTTCCTCCTTTTACCTGTTGACTTCTGTGGTTTCCAAGAGCAGCCCACTTCTGTCCACAACCTACAGAATAGGTTCTGTAGGTTCTGTCCCACCTAATAATAGCTCTCATTCATGGAGAGACTGCTTGTACCTTACCAAGTCCTGTGTTTGGCCCATTATCGCTTTATACCATCATGGCTTTAATACACTCCTAGTAGGGGAGGGTTTGTTAGTCCCATGTTGCAGAGACAAAAACTGAGGCTTGGAGAGAGTGACTGGATTGTGTGATGGTCATATAGGAAGTAAGTGGCATGACTGGGATATGACATAGGAGAATTGTTCTTTTTTTTTTTCTCTACACTCTCTGCTGTGTGCAGGGTCTAATTTAGATAAAGATAGGGAATTGGGGCTAGGTGGGGTGGCTCACACCTATAATCCCAGCACTTTGGGAGGCCGAGGCAGGCAGATCACAAGGTCAGGAGTTCGAGACCAGCCTGACCAACATGGTGAAACAAGGGTGAAATACAAAAATTAGCCGGGCGTGGTGGCGTGTGCCTATAATCCCAGCTACTCAGGACGCTGAGGCAGGAGAATCGCTTGAACACAGGAGGCAGAGGTTGCAGTGAGCCAAGAGTGCGCCTTTGCACTCCAGCCTGGGCAACAGAGCAAGACTCCGTCTCAAAAAGGGAGTTGGAGAGAGTAAATAGAAAAAAAGATTTATGGCTATTGGAATGTGCTTTCACTGGCTTTAAGGATTTTATAGGATAGTAAGAGGGTAAAGCACTGTTACAGGCGTACCTCTGAACCTGTTTACTGTAAGTCAGTTTTTATAAATTAAATAATTAAAAATGTATTAGGGAACACCATAGAACATGGCTGAAAGAAATTGTAAAAGACCTAAATGAGGCCGGGTGCAGTGGCTTATGCCTGTAATCCCAGCACTTTGGGAGGCCGAGGTGGGCAGATCACCTGAGGTCAGGAGTTCAAGACCAGCCTTACCAACAGGAAGAAACCCCACCTTTACTAAAAATACAAAATTAGCAGGGTATAGTGGCACATGCCTGTAATCCCAGCTACTCTGGAGGCTGAGACAGGAGAATCACCTGAACCCGGGGATGGAGGTTGCGGTGACCCGAGATTGCACCATTGCACTCCAGCCTGGGCAACAAGAGTGAGACTGTATCAAAAAAAAAAAAAAAAAACCCTAAATGAAAGACCTCTCATATTCATGGATTGGAAGACTTAATATTGTTGAATATTAATATTGTTAATATACTTCCCAAAATAAGCTATAGATCCAATATAATCCCTATCAAAATTCCAACTGGCTTTTTCTCAGAAATTTATTAAGCTGATGTTAAAATTCATATGGAAATGCAAGGGATATAGAATAGCCAAAACAATATTTAAAAGTAGCAAAAGTTTGGAGAACTCACATTCCTGATTTCACAACTTACTACAGAGCTACAGTAAACAAGACTGTGCTTCTGTCATGAGGATACGTATAAAGACTGATAGAGTAGAATTGAGAGTCCAGAAATAAACCCTCACATTTATGGTCACTTGATTTTTTGCAAGAGTCCCAATTTAATTAAATGGGGTGAGAATACTCTTTTTAGCAAATGGTGCTAGGGCAACTAGATATCCACATGCAAGAGAATGAAGTTGGATTCCTACCTCATACCATGTACAAAAACTCTCAAAATGCCTAAATTGAAGAGCTAACACTATAAAACTCTTATAAGGAAACTTGAATAAATCTTCATGACTGTGGCTTAGCAGTGAATTCTTAGGTATGACACCAAAAGCATAAGCATCCAAAGGAAAAAATAGATGAATTGGACTTCATCAAAATTTAAAACTTAATGCTTCGTAGGACACTATCAAGAAAGTAAAAAGATAACACAGAGAATGGGAGAAAATATTTGGAAATCATCTGATAAGGGCCATACATAAAGAATATATAAAGGACTATAACAATAAAAAGTCAACAATAAAAAGTCTCAAAGGATTTCAACAAATGTTTCCTGGCTGGGCGTGGTGGCTCACGCCTGTAATCCTAACACTTTGGGAGGCTGAGGCGGGTGGATCACCTGAGGTTGGGAGTTTGAGACCAGCCTGATCAACATGGAGAAACCCCGTCTGTACTAAAAATACAAAATTAGCCGGGCATGTCGGCACATGCCTGTAATCCCAGTTACTCGGGAGGCTGAGGCAGGAGAATCGCTTGAACCTGGGAGGTGGAGGTTGCGATCAGCCGAGATAGTGCCATTGCACTCCAGCGTGGGCAACAAGAGTGAGACTCTGTCTCAAAAATAGTAATAAAATAAAAAAACAGGCTGGGCGCAGTGGCTCACGCCTGTAATCCCAGCACTTTGGGAGGCCGAGGCGGGCAGATCACGAGGTCAGGAGATTGAGACCATCCTGGCTAAGACGGTGAAACCCCGTCTCTACTAAAAAATACATAAATAAATAAATAAATAATAAAAAAAACATGTTTCCCCAAAGAAGAGTACTATTCATGTAAATGATCAGTAAGTGCATGAAAAGATACTCAACATCATTAGCCATCAGGGAAATGCAAATGAAACCAGAGTGATGTGCCACTTCACATGCACTAGGATGACTGTAATCCAAAACACAGATAATAACAAGTGTTGACAAGGATGTGGAAAAATTAGAACCCTCATACATTGCTAGTAGAAAAGGTACAACTGCTTTAGGAAGTTAAAGCAGTTACCATATGGCCCAGCAGTTTCGTTCCTAGAGAGATTATACACACACACACGAGAGAACAGAAAACATATGGCCACACAAACATTTATACACAAATGTTCGTATCAGTGTTACAGTAGCTAAGCAGTGAAAACAAGTGTCCATCCACTGATGAATGGATAGGCAAAATGTGATATGTCCATATGAGGGAACATCATTCAGCAATAAAAAGTAATGAACAGGCTGGGCCTACGTGGTGGCTCACGCCTGTAATCCCAGCACTTTGGGAGGCCAAGGCAGGTAGATGACTTGAGTTCCAGACCAGCAGCCTGCCCAACATGGTGAAACCCCCAACTCTACCAAAAATAGAAAAATTAAGTGTGGTGCTACATGCTTGCTATCCCAGCTACTTCGGAGGGTAAGGCAGGAGGATCACTTGAACCCAGGCAGCAGAGGTTGCAGTGAGCTGAGACTGCACCACCGCACTCCAGCCTGGGCGACAGAGGGAGACCATCTCAAAAAAAAAAAAGTAACGGACAGCCAAGCACAGTGGCTGATGTCTGTAATCCTAGCACTTTGGGAGGCTGAGGTGGGAAGATTGCTTGAGCCCAGAAGTTCAAGACCACCCTTGGGCAACATGACAAAACCCCATCTCTACAAAAAATTTAGCCAGGTGTGGTGGAGTGCACCTGTAATCCCAGCTACTTGGGAGGCTGAGGTGGGAGGATACCTGAGGCCAGGAGGTTGAAGCTGCAATAGTGAGCTGAGATCATGCTACTGTACTTCAGCCTGGGCAACAGAGTGAGACTCTATCTCAAAAAAAAAAAATCTGTCAAGCCACAAAAAGACAGTGATAAGCCAGATGCACTGGCTCATAACTCTAATCTCAACACTTTGGGAGGCCGAGGCAGGAGGCTCACGAGAGCCCAGGAGTTTGAGACCAGCCTGGGCAGCATAACGAAATTCTGTCTTTGCCAGTGATGAACCTTAAATGTATACTTGCTTAATGGAAGAAATTAGTCTGAAAAAGTTAGATACTGTGATTCCAGTTAAGTTTAATTTCGTATGTGACTATCTCATAACACATACGGGGAGCTTCCTATTTAGCTAACTGTTATAAAATGAATATTTACGGAGTAATTTTAACATAGGTTTAGAAATTTGGATCTTGGCCGGGCGAAGAGGCCC
Source organism: Homo sapiens (assembly GCF_000001405.40). Classification (NCBI taxonomy): domain Eukaryota; kingdom Metazoa; phylum Chordata; class Mammalia; order Primates; family Hominidae; genus Homo; species Homo sapiens. The sequence goes on from NW_016107299.1 coordinate 128,163, forward strand.
ACACCTGTAATCCCAGCACTTTGGGAGGCCAAGGCGGGTGGATCACCTGAGGTCGGGAGTTTGAGACCAGCCTAACCAACATGGTGAAACCCCGTCTCTACTAAAGATACAAAAAAATATTAGCTGGGTGTGGTGGCACGCGTCTGTAATTCCAGCTACTTGGGAGGCTGAGGCAGGAGAATCGCTTGAACCTGGGAGGCAGAAGTTGCAGTGAGCCGAGATCGTGCCATTGCACTCCAGCCTAGGCGACGGTGAGACTCCGTCTCGAAAAAATTTGGATCTCAGATGGTATAGTAGCTTTCTTTGGATGTGCTGCATACCAGGTGCCAAATGGCGTCCTATAAATGGAAGCTCTTGTGTGAGGAAGGGGATGATCAAATAAGAGTTTTGTTTTTGTTAAGAGTCTGTCTGCCTTTTCCGAACTCATCTACCCATGTCCTTTAAGATTACAGTCCTGGCCCTGTGATAAGCCAGATGCAGATCCACATCGTACTCATTCACTGAAAGAGAGGCGTTGGCTTTGTCTGATGCTAGCTTTTTCTTAGGCGCATCCCGGGGAAATGGTGGGGGCTCTGGCTGCGCAGTCCCTTGGAGAACCTGCCACCCAGATGACCTTGAATACCTTCCACTATGCTGGTGTGTCTGCCAAGAATGTGACGCTGGGTGTGCCCCGACTTAAGGAGCTCATCAACATTTCCAAGAAGCCAAAGACTCCTTCGCTTACTGTCTTCCTGTTGGGCCAGTCCGCTCGAGATGCTGAGAGAGCCAAGGTAGGGATCAGGACTGCTGGGCTTTTTGGCCGGAAGAAAAGAAGGAGAACTCAACTGGGTATGGTGGCTCATGTCTGTAATCCCAGCACTTTGGGAGGCCAAGGCAGGTGGATCACCTGAGGTCAGGAGTTCAAGACTAACCTGGCCAAGGTGGTGAAACCCCATCTCTACTAAAAATAGAAAAATTAGCCGGGCATGGTCGTGTGTGCCTGTAATCCCAGCTGCTAGTTGGGGCTGAGACAGGAGAATCGCTTGAACCTGGGGGGCAGAGGTTGCAGTGAGCCGAGATTGTGCCACTGCACTCCAGCCTGGGCAACAAGAGCGAGATTCCATCTGAAAGAAAAAAAGAAAAAAAAGGAGAACTTTTCCCCTTGAATAAAGGGTTTTGGATTCCCTTGATAAGGAGGGTTAGAAGAGACGTTTAGAGCTACTCAGTTCCCTGTGTCATGGACTTCTGTCTCTTCCCAGGATATTCTGTGCCGTCTGGAGCATACAACGTTGAGGAAGGTGACTGCCAACACAGCCATCTACTATGACCCCAACCCCCAGAGCACGGTGGTGGCAGAGGATCAGGAATGGGTGAATGTCTACTATGAAATGCCTGACTTTGATGTGGCCCGAATCTCCCCCTGGCTGTTGCGGGTGGAGCTGGATCGGAAGCACATGACTGACCGGAAGCTCACCATGGAGCAGATTGCTGAAAAGATCAATGCTGGTAAGCCTAGGAGGGCTGGCCTGGCTCAGGAGCCCCGCTCTCTGGGCTACCACCTATCGTGTTCACCGCACTTGAGCCCCCAAAGAGCTACCCACCCTCACCCCCATGCATGTACCAGTTCCGCCCCTCCGAGGCATCCTCCAACTCTCCAGGTCCCCTCTGCACTCCCTTTCTCTTCTGAATGTTCTCCCTTCCCCTTTCCAGGGGGTTCTATGAAAAGAAAGTTTCTGTGAGGAGCGGGGAGCCAAAAGAGAGCCTTGCTCAGAGAGAGCTGCGAGTGGACAGTGGCTGGGGCCAGTCCCCTTAGCTGCAGCCTTTCTCATGGCTCCTCACCCCACCAGGTTTTGGTGACGACTTGAACTGCATCTTTAATGATGACAATGCAGAGAAGCTGGTGCTCCGTATTCGCATCATGAACAGCGATGAGAACAAGATGCAAGAGGTAATGGGGGTCCTAGAAGTCAGCGTGTCACATGTATAAAACGCATGAATCACGTTAGAGACCAAAGAAAAGAAGATGCAATCAACATTGAGGGGCGGCCAGGCGCGGTGGCTCACGCCTGTAATCCCAGCACTTTGGGAGGCTGAGGCGGGTGGATCACCTGAGCTCAGGAGTTCGAGACCAGCCTGACCAACATGGAGTAACCCCGTCTCTACTAAAAATAAAAATTAGCCGGGCATGGTGGTATGTGCCTGTAATCCTAGCTACTTGGGAGGCTGAGGCAACAAGAGTGAAACTATCTCAAAAAATAAAAAAAACATTGAGGGGCCAGTCATACCCACCTAATTTAGGGATAGGGAATGGTGATTAGCAACGATTTTCAAAATCCACAGCACCGGCCGAGTAGATAAAACAGGTGGTGTTGAAATAGGAGATAGGAGTGCCTCCCTGTCACGCTGTCACTTGGCTCTCCTCCCCCAAGGCTCCTGCAGCTTGCTTTGCTTAGGGAATACAAGCCCCACCCCTGAGGCAGGGGCCAGACTTGGGGGCAGGTTGGGCAGTAGGCATTGCTATGTCCTAGGGGAAGTCGTGTGACAGCCATAACAAGACCCATGAAAAGGCTGGATCAGTGACTTCACTCCTGGGCATGGCTCCTGAGATACTTGTTTGGCACATGTTGGTACCTGGTGCTTTAGTAATAAAAACTGAAGAACTCAGGCTGGGCATGGTGGCTCACACTTGTAATCCCAGCACTTTGGGAGGCCAAGGCGGGCAGATTACCTGAGGTCGGGAGTTCGAGACCAGCCTGACCGACATGGAGAAACCCCGTCTCTACTAAAAATACAAAATGAGCCGGGCGTGGTGGCGCATGCCTGTAATCTCAGTTACTCAGGAGGCTGAGGCAGGAGAAATGCTTGAACATGGGAGGCAGAGGTTGTGGTGAGGCAAGATCACACCATTGCACTCCAGCCTGGGCAATAAGCGAAACTCCATCTCTAAAAAAACAAAAACAAAAAACTGAAGAACTCACTAACTGCTGAACTGCTGTCAGAGAACAGTTATAAAAGCATTGATAGGTCTTGATGGAATACAGTATATGGCCATTAGAAGTGATCACTGTCATGCCAGCAGCAGCCTAGATGAACACACAGTGAAGTGCCAGAGCAGGGAATGGTGTGTGCTCGGGTACAGCAGTTGGGAGGATATGACATGTACGTGGAGCCCGCCTCTCGCTAGGCGCAGGACTGCACAAGAGTGGAAGTTGTGACGGGGTGGTGGGATTTGGGTGCCTTTCCTTAGGCTTCTTTTAATATTGTAAAATCAGGATTAAAAGTCTCACTGGAGAATTGCAGGAACATGGGAGGTAGAGGTTGCAGTGAGCTGAGATCGTGGCATTGCACTCCAGCCCAGGCTGATAACAGCGAGACTCCACCTCAAAAAAAAAAAAAAAAAAGTCTCACTGGAACTGTGAGGGGCAGAGCCTGGTGACTGACTCGTTTGGCCCTCAAAGAGGCTGTAGTTGGAGGCGAGAGCTGGGGAAGAGACCAGAGGATGCCAAGTGCTGACCTCACTCTCACTGCAGGAGGAAGAGGTGGTGGACAAGATGGATGATGATGTCTTCCTGCGCTGCATCGAGTCCAACATGCTGACAGATATGACCCTGCAGGGCATCGAGCAGATCAGCAAGGTCAGCCATCCCCTCTGCCACCGCCTTCCTCCTCCCACTCCCACACTCCCCTCCCTGCCTACTCTGAGCACGCTGTCTTCCCACAGGTGTACATGCACTTGCCACAGACAGACAACAAGAAGAAGATCATCATCACGGAGGATGGGGAATTCAAGGCCCTGCAGGAGTGGATCCTGGAGACGGACGGCGTGAGCTTGATGCGGGTGCTGAGTGAGAAGGACGTGGACCCCGTACGCACCACGTCCAATGACATTGTGGAGATCTTCACGGTGAGCCCGTGTGTGCTGCCTAGCTGCCTTTCGTGGATCTCTGGCTCTCAGGCCCCTCATTCTGTGCTGTCCACTCAGGACTTTTTCTGCCTGATTCCATTTCTGAGTGTGGGATATCCTGGCTCCTGACACCCTCCCTGGATCTGGGTGGCGACAGAAGCAGGGAAGAGAGCAGAGTTGCTCAGTCCTGGCCCTCCCCTCCACTTCCCTCCCCTGTGCCAGGTGCTGGGCATTGAAGCCGTGCGGAAGGCCCTGGAGCGGGAGCTGTACCACGTCATCTCCTTTGATGGCTCCTATGTCAATTACCGACACTTGGCTCTCTTGTGTGATACCATGACCTGTCGTGGCCACTTGATGGCCATCACCCGACACGGAGTCAACCGCCAGGACACAGGACCACTCATGAAGTGTTCCTTTGAGGAAACGGTAACAGTGGAATTTCTGAATAGGGCAGAAGGAGGGAGTAGTGTGAGAAGAAGGGCACACACTTTGGGCAGCTGGGCTGTGGTGATGGGACAGTCAGGTGCTGTGTGTGGAGGGGTCTCATGGGGCCGGTCTGCTCTGTTCAGGTGGACGTGCTTATGGAAGCAGCCGCACACGGTGAGAGTGACCCCATGAAGGGGGTCTCTGAGAATATCATGCTGGGCCAGCTGGCTCCGGCCGGCACTGGCTGCTTTGACCTCCTGCTTGATGCAGAGAAGTGCAAGTATGGCATGGAGATCCCCACCAATATCCCCGGCCTGGGGGCTGCTGGACGTGAGTATGAGGCCCCAGCTGCGGTACCTGCTTGCGTCGGCGAGGCGGGGGGGCAGGCCATGGGTGCAAGGGTGTCACCAGTCCATGATTGCTGTTCTTGCTCCTCACGATTTCCTGTGTTCCTCTTTGCAGCCACCGGCATGTTCTTTGGTTCAGCACCCAGTCCCATGGGTGGAATCTCTCCTGCCATGACACCTTGGAACCAGGGTGCAACCCCTGCCTATGGCGCCTGGTCCCCCAGTGTTGGTGAGTAACCTGATCCAGGAAGAGGGCCCTCCAGGTGGTTCAGAGGTGGATAAGCTGGGATCGTGAACGGTAGCCATTGTTGGAACTCTGAAGGCCGCAGAGGGCTAGTGAAAGGTGGGGCAGGGAGAATTGGGGGCCTTTGGTCTCCCGCTCTGGCCTTAACTTGCTTCTCTCACTCTATAGGGAGTGGAATGACCCCAGGGGCAGCCGGCTTCTCTCCCAGTGCTGCGTCAGATGCCAGCGGCTTCAGCCCAGGTTACTCCCCTGCCTGGTCTCCCACACCGGGCTCCCCGGGGTCCCCAGGTCCCTCAAGCCCCTACATCCCTTCACCAGGTGAGTTGTCGCCATCTGTCAGGCCAGGTTTGTTTCCTCCACAGTTCTGGGTGAGTCTGTCCATTGCTCATCTCCTTTGTTGGCTGCTTCCCCACAGGTGGTGCCATGTCTCCCAGCTACTCGCCAACGTCACCTGCCTACGAGCCCCGCTCTCCTGGGGGCTACACACCCCAGAGTCCCTCTTATTCCCCCACTTCACCCTCCTACTCCCCTACCTCTCCATCCTATTCTCCAACCAGTCCCAACTATAGTCCCACATCACCCAGCTATTCGCCAACGTCACCCAGCTACTCACCGACCTCTCCCAGCTACTCACCCACCTCTCCCAGCTACTCGCCCACCTCTCCCAGCTACTCGCCCACCTCTCCCAGCTACTCACCCACTTCCCCTAGCTACTCGCCCACTTCCCCTAGCTACTCGCCAACGTCTCCCAGCTACTCGCCGACATCTCCCAGCTACTCGCCAACTTCACCCAGCTATTCTCCCACTTCTCCCAGCTACTCACCTACCTCTCCAAGCTATTCACCCACCTCCCCCAGCTACTCACCCACTTCCCCAAGTTACTCACCCACCAGCCCGAACTATTCTCCAACCAGTCCCAATTACACCCCAACATCACCCAGCTACAGCCCGACATCACCCAGCTATTCACCTACTAGTCCCAACTACACACCTACCAGCCCTAACTACAGCCCAACCTCTCCAAGCTACTCTCCAACATCACCCAGCTATTCCCCGACCTCACCAAGTTACTCCCCTTCCAGCCCACGATACACACCACAGTCTCCAACCTATACCCCAAGCTCACCCAGCTACAGCCCCAGCTCGCCCAGCTACAGCCCAACCTCACCCAAGTACACCCCAACCAGTCCTTCTTACAGTCCCAGCTCCCCAGAGTATACCCCAACCTCTCCCAAGTACTCACCTACCAGTCCCAAATATTCACCCACCTCTCCCAAGTACTCGCCTACCAGTCCCACCTATTCACCCACCACCCCAAAATACTCCCCAACATCTCCTACTTATTCCCCAACCTCTCCAGTCTACACCCCAACCTCTCCCAAGTACTCACCTACTAGCCCCACTTACTCGCCCACTTCCCCCAAGTACTCGCCCACCAGCCCCACCTACTCGCCCACCTCCCCCAAAGGCTCAACCTACTCTCCCACTTCCCCTGGTTACTCGCCCACCAGCCCCACCTACAGTCTCACAAGCCCGGCTATCAGCCCGGATGACAGTGACGAGGAGAACTGAGGGCACGTGGGGTGCGGCAGCGGGCTAGGGCCCAGGGCAGCTTGCCCGTGCTGCTGTGCAGTTCTTGCCTCCCTCACGGGGCGTCACCCCCAGCCCAGCTCCGTTGTACATAAATGCCTTGTGGCAGAGCTCCCGGTGAACTTCTGGATCCCGTTTCTGATGCAGACTCTTGTCTTGTTCTCCACTTGTGCTGTTAGAACTCACTGGCCCAGTGGTGTTCTCACTCCTACCCCACCCACCCCCTGCCTGTCCCCAAATTGAAGATCCTTCCTTGCCTGTGGCTTGATGCGGGGCGGGTAAAGGGTATTTTAACTTAGGGGTAGTTCCTGCTGTGAGTGGTTACAGCTGATCCTCGGGAAGAACAAAGCTAAAGCTGCCTTTTGTCTGTTATTTTATTTTTTTGAAGTTTAAATAAAGTTTACTAATTTTGACCAAAAGTATGTACATCGAGTGCTTCATTGGGGTTCAGGAGACCCCCAGGCCCCTGCCTCCTGCCTGGGCTGCTGCTTGATCTGTTAGGGGGAGGGGACCAGGAAAATGGGAGGGTACCTTACAGTCAGCCCACACACAGCCCCTGCTCTGTGCCAGGCACTGCTCTGTACTGAGTTTGTTATAGTCACAACAGATGCAGCTCTTGTCCTCTATTAAGGTGATATTGACCATAACAGCTTTTTAACTTGTTTTACTGATTGTCATAAATAATTTGGAAAAGTGTAGAAAAGTATAATGCAGAGGGAGAAAAATGATCACCCATAATCCCACCACTAGGAGGCATACTTTCTTTGGTATTTTTTCCTATACTTTTCTTGAGTCACTAACAAGTGAACAAAAATGTACTTTGATTTTGGCCTCAAACCAAGAATGAAAAGATTATATAGATGTTGTAATACAGAAGCTGAAGTAAAAGGACTTGGGGGTAATACGCTAGTTTTAGCCGGCTATTTTTCCCCCTTTCATTAGCACCTTAATGTGGTATCAATGTTCTACATCCTCTGCAAGTCATTTCTGATTTACTTGAGGTATTTTTATTTTTATTTTATTTTTTTGAGACAGTCTCGCTCTGTTGCCCAGGCTGGAGTGCAGTGGCGCAGTCTCGGCTCACTACAACCTCTGCCTCTTGGGTTCAAGCAATTCTCACTGCCTCAGCCTTCCAAGTAGCTGCGATTGCAGATGTCCGTCACCATGCCCAGCTACTTTGGTATTTTTAATAGAGAAGGGATTTCACAGTGTTGGCCAGGCTGGTCTCAAACTCCTGATTTCAGGTGATCTGTCCACTTTGGCCTCCCAAAGTGCTGGGATTACAGGCATGAGCCACTGCACCTGGCCTGTTATCTAGAAATGTCTATTTTGCCTTCATTCCTAAAGAATATCTTTGCTAGAGATAGGATTCTGGTGTGACAGATTCATTTTTTGTTTTTAGCACTTTTTTTTTTTTTTTTAGGAGCAGAGGTTTAATATGCAAAAGATAGAGAAAAGAGAACAGCTCGCTCTCTTGTGGGGGAGAGGGGCTTCTGAAAGGGAAGTCCCTAAGATGTCCTATCTTCCGGCCCTCACAGTTTCTAGTGAGAAGTTCACAGTCTTTGGGATCATATTTCTTGTGTTATTTTTCTCTAAATGCTTTCAAGATTTTCTTTTTATCTCTGGTTCTTTGGTTTTTGACAGTTTAGCTTTGGTGTGTATATTGGAGTTCTCCAGAGAAGCAGAACCATTGGGAGAGATATATATCTTCCTGTGCTAATAATCACATTACTTTTATATGTGATTATATATATACATATATATTTTTTTCTATTTACTTGAGCTTCCCCACAGCAAAAATGAGGGGTTTTGTCATGGGAATTCGCTCAAACGATTACAGGGACCAAGAAGTTTCACAATCTGCCATCTGTAATCTGGAGAACCAGGAAGCTGGTGGTGTAATTCAGTCTTGAGTCCAAAGGCCTGAGAACTGGAGGTGGGGTGGTGGTGGCAGTGGTGGCAGTGGTGGCGCTGGTGTAAGTCCTGGAGTCTAAAGACCCAAGAATTGGGAGCTTCTAGGTCCAAAGGCAGGAGAAGTTGGATGTCTGAGCTCAAGGAGAGGACTCACCCTTCCTCTACCTTTTTGTTCTTTCCAAGCCCTCACTTGATTGGACAATGCCCACCTATGGCGGTGCAAGAGAACCTTACTCAGTCTACCGATTAAAATGCCGACCTCTTCAAGAAACACTCTCACTGACACACCCAGAAAGAATGTTTTTCCAGCTCTCTGGGCGTTCCTTAACTCAGTCAAGTTGACGCGTACCATTAACCACCACTGTGTGCCCAGGCATAGTTTTCTCATTTATCCCGTTTGAGTTTCCCTGAGATTTTTGATTCTGTAAAATTGCCTTTTAGCGTATTTGGGAAGTTTTTAGACTTTTTTTTTTTTTTTTAAGATGGCGTCTCGGTCTATCGCCCAGGCTGGAGTGCAGTGGCGCTATCTTGGCTCACTGCAACCTCTGACTCCTGGGTTCAAGCGATTCTCCTGCCTCAGCCTCCCAAGTACCTGGGACTACAGGCGCCTGCCACCACACCCGGCTAATTTTTTGTAATTTTAGTAGAGACGGGGTTTCACCATGTTAGCCAGGATGGTCTCGATCTCCTGACTTTGTGATCCACCTGCCTCAGCCTCCCAAAGTGCTGGGATTACAGGCGTGAGCCACCGCGCCTGGCCTAGACATTCTTTCAAATACTTTTTTTCTGTCCTATTCTTTCCTTCTGAGAATTCAGTAGCATGCCTACTAGACTTTTTGATTTCCCCCCCCACAGGTTTTTGAGGCTCTTAATCATTTTTGCAAATTTTTCTCTCATTCTTTTTTCGAGATGGAGTTTCACTCTTGCCCAGGCTGGAGTGCAATGGTGCCATCTCGGCTCACTGCAACCTCCGCCTCCTGGGTTCAAATAAGTCTCCTGCCTCAGCCTCCCGAGTAGCTGGGACTGCAGGCATGCACCACCACACCCAGCTAATTTTGTATTTTTTTTTTTTTTTTTTTAGTAGAGATGGGGTTTCACCATGTTGGTCAGACTGGCCTTGAACTCCTGACCTCAGGTGATCCAGCCATCTCGGCCTCCCAAAGTGCTGGGGATTACAGGTGTGAACCACTACGCCTGGTCTGGGGGGCACATTTTATTTTATTTTATGTTATTTTTTATTTCATATGGTATGTTTTATGTTATGTTTGTTATGTTATTTTGAGACGGAGTCTTGCTCTGTCGCCCAGGCTGGAGTGCAGTGGTGTGATCTCGGCTCACTGCAAGCTCTGCCTCCTGGGTTCTCGCCATTCTCCTGCCTCAGCCTCCCGAGTAGCTGGGACTACAGGCGCCCGCCACCACGCCCGGCTAATTTTTTGTATTTTTAGTAGAGACAAGGTTTCACCATGTTAGCCAGGATGGTGTCGATCTCCTGACCTCATGATCCGCCCGCCTCGGCCTCCCAAAGTGCTGGGATTACAGGCGTGAGCCACCGTGCCTAGCTTGGGGGGCACATTTTAATCAGCAAAATAACAAAAACCTTCAAGCTATGAAAAACATGTCATTAAGTAGATTGAAAATAGAAAACTAGAAGGCAGAGCACTGCCTTGTTTAACCTCAGTGGTGAACGTGTGCGTTGGGTGACTCAAATTTTTCACCAGTTTGCTCATGTCTGCAAATGGCCACAATTATTGATTTTAAAGTTATAAATAAATTTTAGGAAGTAGGTGAATTTGCAAATATTAAATCCACAAACAATAAGAATCAACTGTATGTATGTGTCTTCTCTTTTTCTCTCCCTCTCTCCATTTTTTCATTCATCCTGAGAATATATATAATTTTTTTGAGATAGGTTTTCACTCTGTTGCCCAGACTGGAGTGCAGTGGCGCAGTCTCAGCTCACTGCAGCCTCAACCTCCCAGGCTCAAGCGATCCTCCCACTCAGGCTCCTGAGTAGGTAGAACTACAGGTGTGAGTTACCACGCCTGGCTAATTTTATTTTTTGTAGAGACAAAGTCTCACTATGTTGCCTAGGCTAGTCTTGAACTCCTGGACTCAAGCGATCCTCCCTCCTTGGCCTCCCGAAGTGCTGGAATTACAGGCATGTGCCACCGCACCCAGCTAGGTTCATTTTTGTTTTTATTTATTTATTTATTTTTGAGATGGAGTTTCGCTCCTGTCGCCAAGGCTGGAGTGCAAGGACACAATTTTGGCTCACCTCAACCTTTGCTTCCTGGGTTCAAGCGATTCTCCTGCCTCAGCCTCCCAAGTAGCTGGAACTACAGGTGCGTGCCACCACACCCAGCTAATTTTTTAGTAGAGACTGGGTTTCAGCATGTTAGCCAGGATGGTCTCGATTTCCTGACCTCGTGATCCACCTGCCTCGGCCTCCCAAAGCACTGGGATTACAGGCATGAGCCACTGTGCCCAGCCTCAAGCCATAGGTTTTTATGCTACATGGGACTCTATCATCATTATTCCAAATCATTTTCTAATTTCCATTTTGATATGTTTGATCTGTGAGTGATTTATTTTGTACATATATATATATATATATATATATATATATATATGTATTTTTTTTTCTTTTCTGTTTTTCGAGACAGAGTCTCACTCTGTCACCCAGGTTTGGAGTGCAGTGGTGCAATCCCAGCTCAAAGCAACCTCCACCTCCCAGGTTCCCATGATTCTACTGCCTCTACTGCCTCAGCCTCCTGAGTAGCTGGAATTACAGGTGCACGCCACCACGCCTAGCTAATTTTTCTGTATTTTTAGAGACGGGGTTTTACCATGTTGGCCAGGCTGGTCTCCAACTCCTGACCTCAGGGTGATCCACTCACCTTGGCCTCCCAAAGTGCTGGGATTACAGGCATGAGACACTGGGCCCGACGAATTTTTCAATTTCATCTTACTTGTCTTACTTTGTATGCTTAATGTTTTTAGTTCATTCCAGCTTAAAATTCTAATACTTTCCTGGTGAATGGACTCTTTTATCATTGTAGCAATCCTCTTTATCTCAAGAAGTGCTTTTTAACTTAGGGTCAATTTTTTTTTGTTTGTTTTTGTTTTGGGATGAAGTCTCGCTCTGTCACCCAGGCTGGAGTGTGGTGGTGCAATCTTGGCTCACTGCAACCTCCATCCCTCAGGTTCAAGCAATTCTCCTGCCTCAGCCTCCCAAGTAGCTGGGATTACAGGCGCCTGCCACCATGCCCGGGTAATTTTTGTATATTTAGTGGAGACAGGGTTTCACCTTGTTTGCCAGGCTGGTCTCGAACTCCTGACCTCAGATGATCCACCCACCTCAGCCTCCCAAAGTGCTGGGATTACAGGCGTGAGCCACCATGCCTGGCCAACTTAGGGTCAATTTTATCTGAGATAGCTACACCAGTTTTTCTTTCAGTTGGAATTTTTCAAGTATATTATTCTTCCATCTTTCTGTATCTTTACATTTAAGCCTCTTATAAATAGTATATCATGGGCTTTTGTTTTTTATACCTTCTTACAACCAATTGTCCTTTTATTGGAGAATTTAGCCTATTTGCATTTAGTATGACTACTAATACATTTGGATTTTCTTCCTACTCTCTTATTTACTTCACAGTTATCTTTCTCACTTTTCCTCCTTTCCTCTCATGCCTTCCAGAGGGTTAATGTTTTTTCTCGTTTCATTATTTTCTCACTATATGTTTAAAATCTATGCTTTATGTCTATTTTGTGTGTGTGACTACCCCAATTATTATTTTTCTTTTTTTTGTATTTTATTTTTTAAAAATTTACCAAAATTATTTTAAGCTATATAAGTTGAAGTCTAAAGTTAGAAATATAGGCTGGATGCAGTGACTCATGCCTGTAATCCCAACACTTTGGGAGGTTGAGGCAGGAGGATCACTTGAGTCCAGGAGGTCGAGGCTGCAGGGAGCCAAAATAATGCCACTGCACTCCAGCCTGGGTGACAGGGTGAACGCTGTCTCTAATCAATCACAATCAAATCAAATAAATAAGATAAAATATAGTTAAAAAACACAGTTACTCTCTTGCTGAATCATACTAGGATCTTACAATGCTTCAATTCTGAACCCTTCTTTCATTTAAATGCAACTACTGTCTAGTATTTGTACTATGACAATTGTCATAAATAAGACATTATTATATTTTACTATTAAAGTTAGTTTAGATTTCCTTAGATATCTATCAATATCTTTTTTTCTTTTTGAGACGGAGTTTCGCTCTTGTTGCCCAGGCTGGAGTGCAGCAGCGAGATCTCGGCTCATCGCAACCTCCGCCTCCCAGGTTCAAGCGATTCTCCTGCCTCAGCCTCCCAAGTAGCTGGGATTACAGGCATGAGCCACCATGCCCAGCTAATTTTGTATTTTTTAGTAGAGATGGGGTTTCTCCACGTTGGTCAGGCTGGTCTCGAACTCCCGACCTTGGGTGATCTGCCCGCCTCAGCCTCCCAAAGTGCTGGGATTACAGGCCTGAGCCACCGTGCCTGGCTTCAATATCTTTTCTCTTAATTCCTTCTTGCATCTCAAATTTTCTTTCATCCGGGATCATGTTTCTTCTGTCTGATGCATGTCAAACAATTTCCTTTAATGAGTTATGTTGGTCTTAATCTTTTTCAGCTTTTGTTTATCCGATGATATATTTATTTCACTCTCATTCTCTTTTCATAACAGCTTTATTCAGATATAACTAATTATGATACAATTCACCTAAAGTGTAGATTTCAATGGTTTTTGAACATATTCAGACTTGTATGACCACCACAATCTGTTTTAGAACAGCTTAATCACCCCAAAAGAAACTCCATATACTGGCCGGGCTTAGTGGCTCACACCTGCAATTCTCCCAGCACTTTGGGAGGCCGAGCAGGCGGATTATGAGGTCAGGAGTTCTACCAGCCTGGCCAACATGGTGAAACCTTGTCTCTACTAAAAATACAAAAATTAGCCAGGCATGCTGGCGCATGCCTGTAATCCCAGCTACTCAGGAGGCTGAGACAGGAGAATCGCTTGAAACTGGAAGGCAGAAGTTGCAGTGAACTAAGATCGCGTCACTGCACTCCCGGCTGGGCAACAAGAGTGAAACTCCATCTCAAAACAAAAAAGAAAAAAAAGAAAAGCCAGGCGCGGTGGCTCGTGCCTGTAATCCCAGCACTTTGGGAGGCCGAGGTGGGTGGATCACGATGTCAAGAGTTCGAGACCAGCCTGGCCAACATGGTGAAACCCCATCTCTAGTAAAAATACAGAAATTAGCTGGGCGTGGCAGTGGGCATCTGTAATCCCAGCTACTTGGGAGGCTGAGGCAGAATTGCTTGAACCTGGGAGGTGGAGGTTGCAGTGAGCCAAGATTATGCCACTGCACTCCAGCCTGGGTGGGTGACAGAGGAAGACTCCATCTCAAAAAAAAAAAAAAAAGAAAAGAAACCCCATATACATTAGCAGTAACTCTTCATTTTGTTTAGCCCCCAAGCCCTGCACTAGGCAATCACGAACCTGTGTTCTGTCTCTTTATATTTGCTTATTCTGGTCACTTCATATTCATGGCATTGTAGAATATGTGGTATTTTGTGATTGGCTTCTTTCACTTATATAATTTCAACATTCATACATTTTGTAGCCTATATCAGTAATTAATCACTTTTTGTTGTCATGTATTCCATTGTATGTGAATATACCACATTTTCTTTCTTCATTCATGAGTTGATGGACTTTAGGTTGTTTCCTTTTTGTTTTTGTTTTTTTTTGAGACAGTGTTGCTCTGTCACCCATGCTTGAGTGTAGTAGTGCGATCTCAGCTCACTGCAACCTCGGCCTCCCATATTCAAGCAATTCTCCTGCTTCAACCTCCCGAGTAGCTGGGATTACAGGCGTGTGCCACCACTCCCAGCTAATTTTTTGTATTTTTAGTGGAGACAGGTTTCACCATGTTGGCCAGGCTGGTCTCAAACTCCTGACCTCAGGTGATCCACCTGCCTCGGCCTTCCCAAAGTGCTGGAATTACAGGCATGAGCCACCGCGCCTGGCCTAGTTTTTTTTTTTTTAACTAATATATATAATTGTGGATCTCTTTGTGTCTATTCTGCGTAGAGTTTGTTGAGCTCTTTGGATTTGTACATTAATGTTTTTCAGTAAGTTTGGGAAGTTTCCAGCCAATTATTTCTTTGACTTTTATTTGCTCGTTCTCTGCTCTGCTTCTGGTATTTCCCTTACATGTATGGTGGTGTGCTTAATGGTGTCTCACGTTTCTTTGATGCTCTGTTTATTTTTCTTCATTTTTTTTTTTTTTTTTTTTTGAGACAGAGTCTCACTCTGTTGCCCAGACTGGAGTGCAGTGGCACAATCTCGGCTCACTGCAACCTCTGCCTCCTGGGTTCAAGTGATTCTCCTGTCTCAACCTCCTGAGTAGCTGGGATTACAGGTGCCACCGGGCATGCCACCATGCCCAGCTAATTTTTTTTTTGTATTTTTAGTATAGATGGGGTTTCATCATATTGGTCAGGCTGGTCTCGAACTCCTGACCTCAGGTGATCTGCCCACCTTGGCTTCCCAAAGTGCTGGGATTACAGGTGTGAGCCAACGCGCCAAGCCTTTCCTTCATTATTTTTATTTCTATTCTTTGGATTGCATAATATTATGATCTATCTTCAGATTGTAATTCTTTCTTCTGTTAGGTGATACTGTTGCAGAAAAACCAGGTTCTTATCACACGACCAGGAAAATTTACGCACACGGACACATTGAACAGTGGGTAGAGCGGGGTTTATTGGGTGAAAAGGAAAAAAAAAGAAAGAAACTCTCAGCAAAGTGAGAGGGCAGTCCTGCGAGCAGGCCCCCACTTTACAGATTGAATCCCAGGCCACCACACAGGAACTGAAGAGGCCAGGCTCCACCTGGATGCAAACGGCGTGAACTAACATGGCTCCACCACATTCTTCTAGTACGTAGGCTGGTCGGAGATTCTCTGGGGACCCACCCCCTTATCTGCTTCCTGCATCTATCATTGTTAATCCCGCCTCTAAAGAAGTCCATCTAACTGCTGTTAGAACAAGGATAAGGATAAAGACCAAGACCGGTCTTAACTGCTTCCTGCTGACAGGGGGCGCTGTTTTGAGAAGATGGCTGTCGGAGCTCCCTTAGAGGCCTATCTAAGGGTCCCTGGCAAAAGGGGCCGCCATCATCTGAGGCTCCAGTTGCATGACCATTTGGACTTTGATGGCCTGAAGCCGAGAAGAGACAAACCAGGTTGTCAGAAAACTTGTATCAAGGCAAAATAAGGTGGGGGTAAGGACAGCTTAAAAATCCTGAGGCCTTGGCTGGGAGTGGTGGCTCACGCCTATAATCCCAGCATTTTGGGAGGCCGAGGCGGGTGGATCACCTGAGGTCAGGAGTTCAAGACCAGCCTGACCAACGTGGAGAAACCCTGTCTCTACTAAAAATATGAAAATTAACTGGGCATAGTGGCACGTGCCTGTAATCCCAGCAGGAGAATTGCTTGAACCCGGGGAGGCAGAGGTTGCAGTGAGCCAAGATAGTGCCACTGCACTCCAGCCTGGGTGACAGAGCAAGACTCCGTCTCAAAAAAAAGAAAAGAAACGTCCAGGTGCGGTGGCTCAAGCACTTTGGGAGGCCAAAGCAGGTGGATAACCGGAGGTCAAGAGTTCGAGACCAGCCTGGCCAACATTGTGAAACCCCATCTCTACTAAAAATACAAAAAAAAAAAAATTAGCTGGGCACAGTGGCAGGTGCCTGTAATCCCAGCGACTCGGGAGGCTGAGGCAGGAGAATCGCTTGAACCCAGGTGGAGGTTGCAGTGAGCCAAGATTGTGCCATTGCACTCCAGCCTGGATGACAAGACAGAAACTCCGTCTCAAAAAAAAAAAAAAAAAAAAAAAAAATTCCTGAGGCCTTTTACTGGTTTGCACAAGGAGTGGAAGGCCAAAAGCCTGACTTATAAAAAATCCACTTTACCCTTTTTACCCTTTCACCAGCATGTCAGGCTTCTGGGTTCCCCTCCCCTGAGCCCCATCCTAAGCCAACCAGTCTAAGGTTTGGGAATTTTTTTTTCTTTTTTTCTTTTTTTTTTTTTTGAGATAGAGTCTTGCTCTGTCGCCCAGGCTGGAGTGCAGTGGTGCGATCTCGGCTCACTGCAAGCTCCGCCTCCCGGGTTCACGCCATTCTCCCACCTCAGCCTCCCGAGTAGCTGGGACTACAGGCGCCCGCCACCACGCCCAGCTAATTTTTCATATTTTTTAGTAGAGAGGGGGTTTCACCGTGTTAGCCAGGATGTTCTCGATCTCCTGACCTCGTGATCCGCCCATCTTGGCCTCCCAAAGTGCTGGGATTACAGGCGTGAGCCACCGTGCCCAGCAGGATTGGGAAATTAACTCTTCTCAGTTTGGAGGATGCATCTGAGGGGAATGTCCCGTAGTATGGAGACACAATTACCTATCGGTGAAGAGAGGACAGAGGAGAAAAAAGGAAAAAAAGAAGGCGTTTTCCTCAGAGGAGTCCCAAGGGTTCAGGACGCATTCGAAAGGAGCACAGACAGCGGGGCCAGTGGCTCACACCTGTAATCCCAGCACTTTGGGAGGCTGAGGCGGCCGGATCACCTGAGATCAGGAGTTGGAGACCAGCCTGGCCAACATGGCGAAACCCCGTCTCTACTAAAAATACAAAAAAATTAGCTGGGCACGGTGGCTCACGCCTGTAATCCCAGCTACTCAGGAGGCTAAGGCAGGAGAATCGCTTGAACCTGGGAGGTGGAGGTTGCGGTGAGCTGAGATTGCTCCACTGCACTCCAGCCTGCCAGCCTGGAGTGCAGCGACAAGAGTGAAACTCCGTCTCAAAAAAAAAAAAAAAAAGAAAAAGAAAAAGAAAGAAAGGGGCACAGACTGAAGATGAATGGCTACTCATCTAGAAAGAGGGGAACAGGTCTGTCCCTGGTTCCTTTCCCTTCCTAGCAAATACCCAGAGTACGTGAGGGAGAGAAAGTGAGGTGTCACTCCTTCTCTCTTCTGTCCTTGTATCCCGGAGTCCCAGCAACCATGACAGGTTCCCACCCATGGGTGTCAAAGTGGTTTTCACTCATATTAACAGGGGGTTCTAGGGGGTGGGAGTATTTACTCTTACCCACATATGCCCTATCTCCCCTGCTGTCAGTAGCTTTTAAATTCCCTAGACCTCATTTATGCCACAGATACTAGCATGATCTTTATCCATGGAACGGGAAGCTTGGCTTAATCAGCAGGAATTAATTATGCTCACCTGCACTGTGCCTTTTAACTTCCATTATCACCTGCCTCTGGATCCCTCAGATCCAGTTTTCTTTCTAGGGCTTTGACCTGAAGCTTGAAATTGAGTTTGGGACAAAAATGTTTTTTGGGGGGTTGTGTGGACTCCTTATCATAAGCTGAATGCTAGGGTGAAGATGTGGGATTGAGTCTTCCTCCAACAAAGGAGAGAAAAAGATGTCTTGTGACATGGCCAGATAACTGGTGGCTATAGTTATGCTTCCTGGGATTTGGGTGCATGAGGCTTGGCTTTTGTTAGCTCCCTTGGTCTTACTTTCCCACAGAGGAAACCTCTGGGTTATGGGCACTGTATTTATTCCCATCACCTGGAAGGATTTGCAGGATAATTGCTCAGAACTAGAATATTGATCCAGATTTTTACATTACCCATCCCTCTTGTTGTTTCTGAGCTGCAGCCAGAGATCCCTGGTTGGTTTACAGGAATAAGCAGGGTTAGTTTAAAATGTAGGCAAAACTTAGAAACAACTAATGAGTCTAAACTTTAATGACAAATATATAAGTTTTGAAATATAATTTCTCTCTATATATTTTTTTAATCTTTTTTTTTTTTTTTTTTTTTTGAGATGGAGTTTCACTCTTGTTACCCAGGTTGGAGTGCAATGGCACAATCTTGCCTACCAGGTTCAAGCGATTCTCCTGTCTCAGCCTCCCATGTAGCTGGGATTACAGGCATGCGCTACCATGCCCAGCTAATTTTGTATTTTTAGTAGAGGCAGCATTTTTCCATGTTGGTCAGGCTGGTCTTGAACTCCCGACCTCAGGCAATCCACCCACCTCGGCCTCCCAAAGTGCTGGGATTACAGGTGTGAGCCCCCACGCTCAGCTTCACTCCCTCCCCTCTTTCCATCTCCCCTCTTTCTCCCCTCACCTCCCCTTCCCTCCCCTCCCCTCTCCTCTCCTCTCCTTCTTCCTTACAGAGTATTGCTCTGTTACCCAGGCTGGAGTGCAGTGGCACAATTTTGGCTCACCACAACCTCCACCTCCTCGGTTCAAGAGATTCTCGTTCCTCAGCCTCCCGAGTAGCTGGGACTACAGGCGCACACCACCACACCTGGCTAATTTTTAATATTTTCAGTAGAGACGGGGTTTCACCATGTTGGCCAGGCTGGTCTTGAACTCCTGATACCAGGTGATCCACCCACTTTGGCCTCCCAAAGTGGTGGGTTTACAGGCATGAGCCACCATGCCCAGCCTTCTAGTCCTCATTTCTGTTAAAAACAAATCAAGTTAGAACTCAGTTGTTTGCAAAATCGACTTTAATCTTATACTTGGCCTGATTATTTGCATAAAGTGCAGCAAAAATAATTATTTCTACATAGGCCTTTTAGATTGACTTTGATGGAACTCTGTTCCACAAGGAATTTCAGATAAGACCTTTTAAAGCTCAGGCCAGCCATGAGTTTGTATCCTCAAATACCTGTGAGTTGGGTAAACTCCTCTCTTCTTGAGGTCCCAAGAGCATGTGTTTTCTGGGCCTGTTGGAAAGTGACATTCTTTACTCATTGCAGGTTAGGAACCCTGTATGGAGACTGTGTAGACAAGGGCATGAAGCCAGTTTTACCAAAGGACTTTTATTGGCTCTGCAAGTTGAGATTGACTCCTTAAAGGGAAGCATACCATTCCAGTCAAAGCCTTGGTAAAACAACCAGTTTCTCCAATTGCATCCTGTTGCAAAAGAAAATGGATTCTTACTGCACTGATACAAACAACTATATTGTCATAAGTTATGAATACTCATAGATAGTTTCTAAATTCTAGAGGAACCAGGCAGAGAGAAACAAACATGCTCCAAATTTTGTTCACAGGAGTATACCCTACTCAATTTTTTTTTTTTTTGAGACGGAGTCTCGCTTTGTGGCCCAGGTGGGAGTGCAGTGGCGTGATCTCAGCTCACTGCAAGCTCCGCCTCCCGGGTTCATGCCATTCTCCTGCCTCAGCCTCCCGAGTAGCTGGGACTACAGGCGCCTGCCACCACACCCTGATAATTTTTTGTATTTTTAGTAGAGACACGGTTTCACCGTGTTAGCCAGGATGGTCTCGATCTCCTGACCTCGTGATCCACCCGCCTTGGCCTCCCAAAGTGCTGGGACTACAGGCGTGAGCCACCGCGCCTGGCCACCCTACTCAATTATTAAAGGCTGTAAATAATTCCTAATAATTTTCCTCGACTCTGAAAAATGAAACAAGGATCAGCAATGTTCCAAGCAAAAGTCCAGAAGATTACTTCAGTTTTCTATTAGTTCAGTCCATTCAGTTAACTCTTGTTTTGCTTGATATTCATGAACATTTCAGCTCTTCATGAGTCCTGTACATTTTTCCTGTGTGCCAATGTCACAATCTCCAAAGTTATCAGAAACTGATATTTGAGCATACTTGTCAGAGTCCTATAGCTTATTTTTTTTTTTAATTTTGCTTTAAGTTCTTGGATACATGTGCAGAACATGCAGGTTTGTTACATAGGTATACATGTGCCATGGTGGTTTGCTACACCTATCAACCTGTCATCTAGGTTTTTTGTTTTTTGTTGTGTGTGTGTGTGTGTGTGTGTGTGTGTGAGAGAGAGAGAGAGAGAGAGACGGAATTTCGCTCTTGTTGCCCATGCTGGAGTGCAATGGCATGTGATCTTGGCTCACCACAAGCTCCACCTCCCGGGTTCAAGTGATTCTCCTGCCTCAGCCTCCCAAGTAGCTGGGATTCCAGGCATGTGCCACCATACCCGGCTAATTTTGTACTTTTAGTAGAGACGGGGTTTCTCCATGTTGGTCAGCCTGGTCATGAACTCCTGACCTCAGGTGATCTGCTCGCCTCGGCCCCCCAAAGTGCAGGGATTACAGGCGTGAGCCACCGTACCCAGCCTATCATCTAGGTTTTAAGCCCCACATGCATTAGGTATTTGTCCTAATGCTCTCCCTCCCCTTGTCCCCCACTCCCTGACAGGCCTTAGTGTGTGATGTTCCCCTCCCTGTGTCCATGTGTTCTCATTGTTCAACTCTCACTTATGAGTAAGAACATGTGGTGTTTGGTTTTCTGTTCCTGTGTTAGTTTGCTGACAATGATGGTTTCCAGCTTCATCCATGTCCCTGGAGAGGACATGAACCCATTCTTTTTATGGCTGCAGAGTCCTGTAGCTTATGAAAAGGATCAAAACAAGACAACAATTGTCTGTGAATAACAAAATGTCCAGGGTAGTTACAGTTAGAAACACAATTGACAAAGAACTTTGGTTATCTCTGTGGTTTACAATAACTTAACAACCTTAATTATGACTGATAGCATATACTTTAGACATTAGAATTTTAGAAATCCCACACAATTTTGGAACATACATTAGTATTATTCACCAGAATATAACCTAAAGAAGATTGGACACCATTTTGGCAATCCCATGTAACTAAACTTGTCAAATAATTCTGTTTACCTCTCTTTTGGATACTGCAGGGGCCCTCTGTAGCATCCAAAAGCCAGCCATCAGGAAAGGCAATTTTGTAATGGAAGTTTAATTTCTGGAAGCCTGTTAAATATGTTAGAGGTTTAAAACACTTGATGTTATGAAATAGAATTCCAAATTACCACAAGTTATTTATTTTGCTAAAATGACTCAGAAATTTAAAAGAGCAAAAACCTTTTATAACCCTTTACAAATTTTGTTAAAGAGCAGATTAGTGCCTTATGAGTGTCTTGTTGTGCTTTTATTTCAATGCTCAACTTACAGAAAAACCATATAACACCCTTTTGAATTTAGTCAATATGTTCATACTTCACACATAGAATTTCTGGGTTTTTTTGTTTCGTTTTGTTTTGTTTTGTTTTGTTTGGAGACAGTCTCACTCTGTCGCCCAGGCTGGAGTGCGGTGGTGTGATCTCAGCTCACTGCAACCTCCACCTTCTGGGTTCAAGCAATCCTCCCACCTCAGCCTCTCGAGTAGCTGGGATTACAGGCGTGCACCACCACACCCGGATAATTTTTGTATTTTAGTAGAGATGGGGTTTTGCCATGTTGGCCAGACTGGTCTCGAACTCCTGACCTCAGGTGATCTGCCTGCCTCAGTCTCCCAAATTGCTGGGATTACAGGCATGAGCCACTGCACCCAGCCAATTTTAATTTTTATTAATTAATTATTATTATTATTATTATTTTGAGACAGAGTCTCATTATGTTGACCAGGCTGTTCTCAAACTCCTGGGCTCAAGTGATCCTCCTGCCTCAACCTCCCAAAGTGCTGGGATTGTAGGCATGAGCCACTGTGCCTAGTCTTCATTACTTCTTGAAGCATGGTTTCCTTAGTTATTTGAACATATTTATAATAAGTGCTTTGAAATCTTTTCCATTAAATCAAATGTCTGGGCTCTCTCACGGGCAGTTTTTGTTGCCTACTTTTTTGCTCCTGTGTATATGTCACGCTTTCTTTTTTCTTTGCAAATCTTAATAATTTTTTTGGCCTAAAACTGGATATGTAAAATAATATATTAGGCTGGGCATGGTGGCTCACACCTGTAATCCCAGCACTTTGGGAGGCCACGGTGGACAGATCACCTGAGGTCAGGAGTTAAAAACCAGCCTGGCCAACAAGGGGAAACCTCATCTCTACTAAAAATACAAAAATTATCCAGGCGTGGTGGCGCACCTGTAATCCCAGCTACTCGGGAAGCTGAGGCAAGAGAATCACTGAAATCCAGGAGGCTGAGGTTGCAGTGAGCTGAGATTGCATCACTGCACTCCAACTTGGGCAACAGAGTGAGACTTCATCTCAAAATAATGATAATAATATATTAGCAACTCTAATTCCTCTTTCCTCTCTGTAGGGCTTGTTTCTGTTGTTTTTTGCTTGTTTGCTTAGTGACTTGACTAGATTATTTTAGTGAAGTCTATTTCCCCCATATTGTGAAGTCTTTGGTGTCATTCTTCAGAAGATGTAGCCTTGAGTGTACCTGTAGTCACAGTAAGATAATAGTGGTTTTAGCAGGGCTCTCTTTGTCTCTTTCCCCACACCCAGCTGTTAAGCTCCACTAACTGCAAGCTGATTGCTCTATTATTTTTGACAATGTCCTGAGGCATAAATTCCTCCACAGTCTGATTCAATTAATTTCTGGCAGGGATGGTTTTTGAGGCAAGTCTTTGAGTTTTGTTCTGACCTCAAGAGTGCTCTTCTTAGGATCTTTCCCCTATTTTATATCTTTAAATATAAAAGGCACTGGCTTTTAATATTTAACTTA
Source organism: Homo sapiens (assembly GCF_000001405.40). Lineage (NCBI taxonomy): Eukaryota > Metazoa > Chordata > Mammalia > Primates > Hominidae > Homo > Homo sapiens. The sequence goes on from NW_016107299.1 coordinate 151,151, forward strand.
ACCACTCAATCAGTTAAGTTCCCTCTGGTGATCTAGCTGGCTTATGGCTTAACTTGTTGCTCTTAAGAGAAACTAGAGTTGACCCTTGAAGAACCAGTGTCTCTAAGGATTAGAGACACTGACCCCTCTGCAGAGTCAAAACCGCATGTATACTTTTTTATTCCCTCTCCCCCGCCCCGCAAAAAAAAAAAAAAAAAAAAAAAGCAGAATGAAAAAAACAAAGAACTGGGTGCGGTGGCTCCTGCTTGTAATCCCAGCACTTTGGGAGGGCAAGGTGGGTGGATCACGAGGTCAGGAGTTCCAGACCAGCCTGGCCAACATAGTGAAACCCTGTCTCTACTAAAAATACAAAAATTAGCCAGGCATGGTGGCGCATGCCTGTAGTCCCACTTACTCGGGAGGCTGAAGCACGAGAATTGCTTGAACCCAGGAGGCAGAGGTTGTGGTGAGCTGAGATCACGCCACTGCACTCTAGCCTGGGCAACAGAGTGAGACCCCTTTTCAAAAAAAAAAAAAGCAAACAAAACACAAACAAACAAAGAAAAAGGCTGTGCGTGGTGGCCCGTGCCTATAATCCCAGCACTTTGGGAGGCTGAGGCAGGTGCACTGCCTGATCTCAGGAGTTTGAGTCCAGCCTGGGCAACAAGGCACGACTCCGTCTCTATGAAAATACAAAATTAGCTCAGCATGGTGGCATGCACCTGTGGTCCCAACTACTCAGGAGACTGAGGCAGGAAGATTGCTTGAGCCAAGGAGGTCAAGGCTGCAGTGAGCCATGTTTCCATTGCTGCACTCCAGCCTGGGTGACAGAGTGAGACCCTGTCTCTCTTTTTTTTTTTTTTTTTGAGATGGCGTTTCACTCTTATTGCCCAGGCTAGAGTGCAATGGCACGATCTTGGGTCACCACAACCTCGGCCTCCCGGGTTCAAGTGATTCTCCTGCCTCAGCCTCCCAAGTAGCTGGAATTAGAGGCATGCGTCACAATGCCTGGCTAATTTTGTACTTTTAATAGAGGCAGGGTTTCTCCGTGTTGGTCAGGCTGGTCTTAAACTCCTGACCTCAGGTGATCTACCCGCCTCAGCTTCCCAAAGTGCTGGGATTACAGGTGTGAGCCACCGCGCCCGGTGAGACCCTATCTCAATTTTAAAAAAGCAAAGAAAAAGAAAAAAAATTTTTGACTCCCCAAAAACTTAACTACTAATAGCTTCCTATTGACTGGAAGCCTTACGAATTACATAGTAGAAGACTAACATGTATTTTTTATGTTTTATATATATACTATATTGTTAAAATTAAGTAAGCTAGAGAAAAGAAAATGCTATTAAGAAAATCATGGGGTAGGCATGGTAGTTCATGCCTGTAATCCCAACACTTTGGGAGGTCAAGGTTGGAGGATCGCTCAAGCCCAGGAGTTAGAGACCAGCCTAGGCAACATAGCAAGACCCCATCTCTATAAATAATTTAAAAATTTGCCAGGCATGGTGTCATGCGCCTGTAGTCCCAGCTACTCTGAAGGCTGAAGCAGGAGGACCACTTGAGTCCAGGAGTTCAAGGCTGCAGTAGGATATGTTGGTGCCACCAAGCTCCAGCCTGTGTGACAGATAAAATCATAAGGGCTGGGCGTGGTGGTACTGTGGCAGGCCAGGTCTTACTAATGCAGGCCTCCATAGCAACTGTTTCAGTACTGATTGAGTAGTTAAGTTAAATATTAAAAGCCAGTGCCTTTATACAAAGGCTGGAACGTAAGAAAAGCCCACCAAGAGTTTTGCCTAGGCCTTTCCTGGGCCTTAAAGCATGACAAAATAACGAAGGAATTCTTAACAAGACCCATTTAGGATTCAATAAATTTTACTGTGGGTCTGAAGAAACTCTCCAGGCCTCCACAAACAAGTTTACTGGGGGTCTGAAGGAACTCCCCAAACCTCCATGATTTAGCAGGAAACAAGATAAGGGTAATCACCCCAGCACCTGGACCCATTTAGATTAAGTAAATTTACTGAGGCTCCAGAGGAAGGTCTTCAGGACTCAGACCTTAGTTATAGATTAAAAGAAGTTAACCAGCTCGGCACAGTGGCTCATGCCTGTAATCCCAGCACTTTGGGAGGCTGAGATGGGCGAATCATTTGAGGTCAGGAGTTCGAGACCAGCCTGACCAACATGGCAAAACCCCGTCTCTACTAAAAATACAAAACAAATTAGCTGGGCATGGTGGCACATGCCTGTAGTCCCAGCTGCTCGGGAGGCTGAGGCAGGAGAATTCCTTGAACCCAGGAGGTGGAGGTTGCAGTGAGCCAAGATCGTGCCACTGCACTCCAGCCTGGGCGACAGAGTGAAACTGTGTCTCAAAAAATATATATATAAAGAAGTTAATCACGTATGTCTTTAGAGGAATGCACACTTACACATAGACATATAGCTCAGAAGGTATATAAGCTCTGGAAAACTTTATAATTTTGAGTTTGTCTGGTGATAATTTCCAGACCATCTCCCTGTAACCGGTTGCACAAATAAAAACTCTATTCCTCCCCAGTTCATCTGCATCTCATTACTGGGCCACAAGAAATAGCAGCCCAACCCTCAGTTTGGTCTAGGAACAACAGTACATGTTTATAATCCCAGCTATTCAAGAGGCTAAGGCAGGAGGATTGTTTGAGCCCAGAAGTTTGACACCAGCTTTGGTAACATAGTGAGACCCTGTCTCTTAAACAAACATAAACATAGATATGTGTGTGTGCGTGTGTGTGTGCAGGTGTGTGTGTGTGTGTGTGCGTATAATTAAAAAGATAAAAATATAAAAGAGACAGGAATAATACAAGGTGGTCACAGGAGAATAAAAATTTCAGGCAGGCTGGGCATGGTGGCTGACACCTGTAATCCCAGCACTTTGGGAGTCCAAGGCAGACGGATCACAGGGTCAGGGGTTCAAGACCAGCCTGGCCAAGATGGTGAAACCCTGTCTCTACTAAAAAAAAAAATACAAAAATACAAAAATTAGCCGGGTGTGGTGGTGGAAGCCTGTAATCCCAGCTACTCGGGAGGCTGAGGCAGGGAATTGCTTGAACCTGGGAGGCAGAGGTTGCAGTGAGCCAAGATTGCGCCACTGCACTCCAGCCTGAGTGACAGAGGGAGACTCCGTCTCAAAAAAAAAAAAAAAAAAATTCCAGGCAGCATTTTCACATGACTAGGGGCTGTGGGCTGATAAGACCCTAAAAAACAGGGTGTGGGCCAAACTGGCTAAGACAGACTGGGCCCAACATGGTGCTGGGTTCAACCTAGGTTTCACCTAGGACCTCATTACATGCTCATTAACATGCTAAACACACACCCACCAGCGCTGGGACAGTTCTGAGAACACCCGTATTTCGTATACAAATGTGTAGCGCCACATTTCTGAGAAATCTCCACCTTTTTTTGAAATTTTCATGAATATTGCACCCCTTGGTTAAAGAAATCCGTAAAGGTAGCAGTCCCCAACTTGGTTACTCAAGACTCCGTGTGAATACGCCTGTATTCCCCTTGCTTGAGCAGGTACATCTCCTTAGTTTCACTATTTTCTGACTCATCCTAGAATTC